>NC_000010.11:56355216-56506731 GCF_000001405.40 Homo sapiens | reverse complement strand
CTTGCTGCTTATAATAAAATGTGAAAGAAGAGAAGTTAATTAAGGGACGAACTATTAAATCAAAAGGATCTAAGGACTGATGGTTTTGAAAATTCTTGGCCTGTCCTTATGGCAAAGGCTGTTAAAATTAAGAAATTTCTTCCACAAATGTGGCATAGAAAAATGGGTGTACCTATACAACCTTTTTCTCAAACCTGAGAAAGATCAAAAGGTCACAATATTCAGTCACAGAGGGCCCTTTCAAGAGACTAAGCGTGGGCTTCACAAATCCTCTCAATCAAACTGTAAGGCCTCTAGGAATCTTGAGGCCCCTCAGCCATCTCAAAATAACCCAAACATAGAGAAAGGATTATCATGAAAAATAAATGTGGATGTGGCCTTTGTATACTGATGTGAACACCATCAAAATCCAGTGAAGACCACCCCTCCACCCAAGATTTTGAGAAAAGTGTTTCAGCAAAAACACTGCCAGATGGTACTAAAAATGACAGAGTACAAAATGATGGGAGTCTGTTGGATCTGCAAATGCTACTGGTGCTGAAGCAGGTGGACATACCACTCAGCAGCAAACACATGCAAACCATGTTTTACAGTTGTTTTACTATGGACTAAGAGAAAGATGGAAACACCTATTTACAGCATTTATTTTGCAAAGGTTTAAATAATAAGATATTTTTCCACTGACAACATTCACTGGAAGAACTAGTTGTAGAGGTTGTGTCATCTACCTGTTCTCAAAGACATTCAAAATTTTTCTGATACCATGAAGTGTTCTCAGTATTTTCTGAGAGTGTTGATTTCAGGGTCTCCTAAAACAGGTAGGAGAAGAAATTACAACCAAGCAGACTTTTGATACTAATAGTTATTATAAAAAGGCTTTTTGAGAAAGCTGAATTTGTAAATGTTTGCTAACAGCCTGCTTTTCAGCAGAAATCTCCCCAGGGCCAGAGATCAGTATGCAGTTTACTGATGTAGTTGATAAGCCAAACCCAGAAAGCTTTCTGGTAAAAACAGATGTCATGGTTGTTCTCTGGGTTAGGGTTGGTGCCCCGCAATAGAGAGAAGTGTTTTTGAGGTAGTAGTATAGTTTTTAGATTGCTATTGGTTTGAATGAGTCACTAAATTATTTGATTATTGTTTAGCGAGTTCTGTCAAATCATCCTTACGTAAAAATCTTCAATGGCTTCTTACTACATTGAGAAAATATATTTAAAATTTCATGAGATTTTGCCACAGTATGGTAACTGCCTACACCATTATTATTTTTTCCCTCTTGTCTCTTGCGATGGTCCAACTTCACTATTCTGTTTTGTTTTGTTTATTATTTCAGTTGTTCCAAATGGTCAGACTCATTTCCGGGTTTTCAGGCAATACAATAATTTCTAGCTGAAATGCATATTTATTCTCTTGCCTGAAATAAATACATGCACACATACACTCGTGATATTTTTAAAAGTAATTCCTACTGATTTATTGTGGAAACTTTGTTTACTTTCAACGTAAATTTGGTCTTCCTCTTGAAATCTCTAATAAGTAGTGCTTTTCCTTCATTGCACTCATATTTTATCATTATTTACTTGTGAGATTTTAAAAAATCTGTTATTTCTATTGCACTATAATTTCCATGAGCATAAGGATATTGCCTGCTTTATTTATCATGATTAACCTGTGTAGGTCACTACACATAGAATATATAAAATATTCAATCAATATTCAGGATAAATTAATAAATTAATACATAAGTGAACCTTTCTTAATAGAAATTTTTGTACACATATATTTAATATAATTTCTCCATTAGCATTCTTCCTCCTATTTTTGTTATATGACCTAATATTTTTGTAATTTAATAGAAATTTTAAATTCCTGTTTATGTGATTGTATTTTGAAATTCCCATTTAGCCTAATGAAAACAGTAGTTGGCTGCTAGTCACATGTTTCAGATTTAAACCTTCATCTGTCATCTTCCTGGAACAAATGAGCTACAAATAGTTTCTGATTATTTGCATAGTCCAGGGGAGAGCATGGCAGCACTTCTTAATACATTGCATGTAAAAAGATGCATTGTTTAGGAGAAAGGGAAATTGGTATCATTTAAAATTTTATCTGCATATTCTTTTTCCTGACAAAGTGTATCCAATACTATTAGCTTCTACTTTCCTGATTTTCATTTTTGTTTTTTGAAACTACAGAAATGTAAAAATATCTACCAGCATAATATGAGAGATGCCAGGAAAGATGGGTCCTGGCTCCCCTCATGGTACTCATTAATTTACTTAAATCAAAAAATTTTCCTTGTTTCATAAGTTTCAATTTTTCATCTGCTAAATAAGTGTAATGCATGTTGACCTAAAGCACAACTACACCAGACCATGCTTTCAGAATCCCTCACTTCTAGTATCTGTCATACTGGCCTGAGAGAGAGACAGCATATCAAAATGGAGCTCCTGCTTAACATAGATCTAGCACAAGTCTTACCTACATTAAGTATAAATAAAACAAAATTTGAATTGAAACTACAAAATCGACATTTTCTTTGTTAGAATAAATTTCAATAAAAAGTCACTGTAGCTGTCTTCTCTCTCAAGATTTTCATCTTTTCCTCAGCCTATCAGTTAGCTGATCTATTTAATACTGGTAAAAAATGGAAATGTTATGTTTAAAAATTGAACAAAGAACTGTATATTTAATTACCCAACTTTCAATTCACTTTTTATTTCTCAAATTATACATTCTCATACATAAGTAATACATTAAAAGCAGCAAGTGAATATTCAATCATTTTATAGCCTACTTTTCTCAGAAGTCTGTGAAATACAGATCTCTAAGCAAGAGGAAAGACTCCAGAGTCTTTACACTTCTAGGTGAACTGATTTGTAGGTAAAAGTTCTAAGAATTGTCATTGTCTGATGCCCACTGGCTGCTTGAAATGCTATGAGTTTATTTTATCCATCCTCCAGTGGGGAGTAGATGCAGACATTGGCAAGAAAGAACAGGAATTTTAAAGAGGTCATGAAGATCAAAATCTTTCACTTTGGGAGCAGGGTAATGAGGAAGTGCTAGAACTGAGGCTGCCAGGGCTCCTGTTTAGTCTGTGTGAAAAGCTGTACAGCTTTTGGTTTTGCATCTCCTTTGAAATAAGACATCTCTTAAAAAAAAAAAAAACTTTTATTTTAGGTTTGATGGTCCATGTGAAGGTTTTTTACATAAGTGAACTCATGTCATGGGGTTTGTTGTACAAGCTATTTCATCACCCAGGTGATGAAATACCCAATATGGGGTATTGTTCAGTACCCAATAATTTTGTTTTCTGCTCTTCTCCCTCCTCCTACCCTCCATTTTCAAGTAGTCGCCAGTGTCTGTTGTTCCCTTCTTTGTGATCATGAGTTCTCATTGTTTAGCTCTGATTTTTAAGTGAGAATATGTGGTATTTGGTTTTCTATTCCTCCATTACTTTGCTAAGGATAACAGCCTATTAATGTTACTAGCTCTCAATAAACTAGGTATTGAAGGAACATACCTCAGAATAATAAGAGCCATTTATGACAGACCCACAGCCAACCTCATACTGAATGGGCAAAACCTGGAAGGAGTCCCCTTGAAAACCGGCACAAAACAAGAGGCCCTCTCTTACCACTCCTGTTCAGCATAATCTAGGAAGTCCTAGCCAGAGCAATCAGGCAAGAGAAAGAAATAAAAGGCATCCAAATAGGAATAGAGGAAGTCAAACTATCCCTATTTGCAGATGACATGATTCTATATCTAGAAAACCCTGTAGTCTCGGCCCAAAAGCTCCTTCATCTGATAAGCAACTTCAGCAAAGTTTCAGGATACACAATCAATGTACAAAAATCACTAGCATTCCTATACACCACCAACAGCCAAACCAAGAGCCTAATCAGGAAAGCAACCACATTCACAATTGCCACAAAAAGAATAAAATACCTAGGAGTACAGCCAACCAGGGAGGAGAAAGATCTCTACAATGAAAATTACAAAACATCGTTCAAAGAAATCAGAGGACACAAACAAATGGAAAAACATCCCATGCTTATGGATAGGATGAATCAATTTCATTAAAATGGCTATACTGCCCAAAGCAATCTATAGTCAATGCTGTTCCTATCAAACTACCAATGAAATTCTTCGCAGAACTAGAAAAAACTAGTTTAAAATTTGTATAGAACCATAAAAGACCCTGCATAGCCAAGGAAATCCTAGGCATTTCTAATAGACCGCATCTTAGGCACCTGCCGGCAATGCTTCTCAATGATTTGGTCATTAACCATCTGCCTTTGCTATTTAGACTTGGCTTTCCTATATCTGGCTAACCCCAGAATCTCCACGATGTTTTTACTTAAATACTGGTTGCCAGTAATCACTGCTAAAATGAGTCTGTGCTAGGAGCTCTAGAATCTGTATTTTTAAACATTTCTCCAGAAGCTGACATAGATAAAATCTCAACATACTGGGTAGAGACTTGAAACACCTGGCTAATCCAGTGCCTCAGAGATGCATATTGCTTTCTTTTCTTGAAGTTGTAAAATTAATATATAAAATTGTAGCAATCTTAGAAAATACAATTTAAAAATCCCATATTGCTCATAAAATCAAAGCATAACTATAATTAATAATTCTATTTTAATTTATCTAATATATGTTCTGTTTCATAAAGAACATATTACACATGTATATAGTATTGTGATATAGGTTCATATTATTGTATACCATTGTCTTATTTAAGATTTAATGAACATTTTCTCATAGCATTAAAAAGTATTTAAAGATAGAATGCAGTAACATTTTTTGATATGTGATTTATGTCATGGCCACTATTTATCGTCTACTATAATTATTTTCTCATAAAAATACCATAATTAATGCTTTTAGTTATGAATGTTAGTCTTTTCTTATTTTCATAGGTAGAAAGTCAAATAACTATTTTCATAGGTAGAAAGTCAAATAAAATTAAAGAGCTCTGTGGACCACTGCCAAAGTCCGCACTGAGTTTGTCATTGCACTGAGAATTTAAAAGGTAAGAAAGAAATGGACAAGGTTGTGTATGAAGGTATTCATGAATAGCTAATAGAATCTTAGATTTCTCATTTATAGAGAACAACTACAAAAATATGCATCCTCAGCAAGGATGTATTTCATAAGCTAAAAAAAAAGTTATGGCTGGGTAATGTGAAATTGCGCATGCAACCTCAGTCTTCCTTTCTGCTTTTCCTTAACTGATCTTTGTGACACCTACAGGCATTTTCAAAAATTTATTGAAAGCTATCACAAAGATGTCTAATCTTTGACAAATGATAGTTTGAAGTGCATTTGATTATGAATTTTTTTTCTGAGACTAATAATTTCAATAATTCCAGTAGTGTGTTTTATAAATCCAGGTGCATAACTGAAGATAATTGATTTGTATCTTTTATGTAGAAATGAAAACAATTTCAAGTACCTTGTGAAAAATCCTGAGTCAGTACTCATGAGATAAGCTGTCAAGATCAGCTAATCAGCTAATCTCAGCTCTACTGAGAATGTGAAATTTCTTTGCATGGCTTTCTTTTTTCTATTTAAGATTTACTTATATTTGCATTAATCCCTCAATGGCTTATTTTCTGATGATCTTTCTACTTTCAGTGCTTCTCCCAAATAGGATTCTTAATTAAATTGGTGACTGTCTATATACTGTTTTGAGAATGCTAGAAAATGGTTAAGAAACACTAGAATTATAAACTGAAATCTAAATATTGCTAAATCTTTTCTGATTATGAAAAACCTACAGTTGGAATAGTATTTACATAAAATAACTGGTATTAAAAATATTATTTGTCACATCTCAGAGTGGACTAAAAATTTAAAAAGTGACCCTGGAAGAATTTATTTTAGTGATTAGTTTTTAATAATAATTTCTAAGGCAGTGAAGTTGTTTTAACTGGACAATAGAAACAGAGGGTGAGAAGGAAGTAAAAATAAAATGGAAATAACATTTAATCAACATGTGCCTGTTGTGAAAGATAGGCTAGTCGAATGAAGACGGTTCCACTTAATTTCCTGGGAATAGCCTCAGGCTCCAGCAGACTTTGTATATACCCAGGCTGGAATAAGCAGACGAAGGTGTCCTGGATGGGCATCCATCTGCAGCCTTGCTAATTATAAAAGAGAGCTGGTCTTAACTGATGAAATGCTGCAAACACTAACTTGACAGTGAGAGAGGATTTTGAAATTAGCAGGGCTACTTTAGTCTTCAACTAAATCTTATCAGGTAGCACAGGTGACAGTTAAATCATTCTCAGCAAGGCAGGTTGCTCCTCCAAATGTGTGGTTTTCTCATAGTTTTGTCCTTTGAAATAACTCTCCGCAAAGAATGGCCTCTACATGTTTGTAAAGAGAGTAGCTCTAGACTATAACTAATTCCTTAGCCTGCTAACTGTACTTACATTACATGAAAAAATAGATACATTTTGCAATCAGGTTTTAAAAATTATACACTCATAGGTTTAAAAGGAACTTTCTCGTTTCTCAAGAAAACTAGGAGAATCCGTGTAGTTTGCCTAAGGCCAAACAACTAATATGAATCAGAGCTGGTGTTGGAACCCTGGTCTCCTTACCCCAAGTTTATGTAATTTTATCAAACCATACTGCCACCTGCTTCAAGTATTTGATGAGAACAGAATGTCAGTTGCTCCAGCAATTCACAAAATCTTAAAACAACCTTAATGGCTTTCAATGAATGTTGACTTGTATGAATTCAAGATACTATTACCCTGTGATAGAACACTTGTATCACAATACCAAATGCTGATAAAAAATAATTGTAAGTGGACTTTGTTTTAACAGCAGTCCACATTCCATAAATATCATTCTACTAAGACATTTTAAGTTTCATTCTGAATATATATGGCAAATTATTTGCATCTTTTATAGTCTTTCTTCCAAAATATTTCCAATCTAAAATACCTCAAACTTGCCTTTCCCATGTTTGTATATTTTATCACCAACACTTTTCATGCCTCCTAATGATTTACGTGATTTTGATTCCTGCAACTCTGTGTTCACACTGAAGAAAACGGCAAGGATTTTACACTACATTTCCAAAATATTTATTCCTTTAGAACTTTGTTCTTGTCCCCCTGCCCCTACATTCATTTATTTATCAGTTGCTCTTATTTCACAGACATGTATTATTGCCTGTTTTTCAAAATAATGAAGAAATGAGCAGTTGTGTAACATAAGGCACATCTGCTTCAGAACAAGGGTTTAACATTTCTCTCACTATTACAATTAATATAATAAATTAATTAACTTGAAATCTCTTAATGTGCTCTATATATTTTTAAATTTATTTGCAAATGCTGTATCATATGGTATTTACACATTATATGGTATTAAGTTAGAGAGCCTCTTATAGTGAGACCCAAAGTCTCACTGTCTGTCTCTTAGTAAGACAAACTGGGGAAATACATTAAGTATATAGGGCTCATGAAGTTACTATTTAACTTATCAAACCAGTAATACGACGGTACATTCAGGAGTTTTATGGGAAGAAATTGCCTAAATCCATCACTTAGCAACAACAGTTTCTCACTGAATAACTTGTTACATTGAGAAAAATAAGGATTGTTATTATGTTTTCTAGTACAAAGCTTTTCATGTCAAGCAATAATAGTAAACATTCAAATAGTTGTATCCAAATAATGTATATTAGTATAATCAATCATATTAAACTACTTTTTTCAGTCATACTAAAGCCCCTCCCAGTTTCCCAATTATTTTTTGACTGCTCTGCAGGGCCACTATCATGACAAATTGTATCCACATATGTATGAGATTGTTTCTGAACCCTCTAGTCTGTGTCACTGGACTATGTTTCTATCCTTGCACAATTATCATAGCACTTTTTAAAACCACACATTTATAATGAAACTTTGTGTTGTGTTTCCCAATTTTCCACAGTCTCTCTTGTATTCAAGCCCTATCAGCTGCTTGAATATCTCCCACAGATCACCCCTCCAATGCCGTCTAGTCAAGCTGGCTCTTATTCATACTTTATGCCTCAGCAACAATTTAGCTCTTCTAGCAAGTTGTACTAATTCCTTATTAACTATCTGGAATGACTTTACCAAAAGAGATGTCAGGCCACTATTATGATGAATTATTTGAAATTAGAGAAATCTAAATAAATAGGGAAAATATGTAACATTTATGGATTTTAAGGTTTATATCATCAAAAAGATTTGCTTCCCCAAACACGATTTATAAGCTAAATGCAGTTCCAAGAAAAATCTCGGTTTTTTTTTCAGAGAAACTGAAATGCTAATTCTTAAATTTATATAAAAATACAGAAATAATAATCAAGATAGTTTTGAAGAGAAAAAAGTTATAGCACTTAAACTACCCAAACACAAAGCTTCATTATAAACATATGATTTTAAAAAGTGCTATGACAATTGTGCAAGGATAGAAACATAGACCAGTGGCAGAGATTAGAGAGTCCAGAAACAATCTTATACCTATGTGGACACAATTTGTCATGATAGTGGCCCTGCAGAGCAGTCAAAAAAGAATAATATTGTCAAGATGAAACAAAATATCAACATCAGCCCTTTTCTCATAATGATAAACAAAAATCAATTAAACATGATTTTTAGCTGTAAAAAAAGAACTGTACGGCTTTCATGACTTTAGGATAGGCGTAACTTTCCTAAACAGGATATAAAAAATAGTAACTATAAATAAAATCATTGATAAAATAAACTATACTAAAATTAGAAACTTCTTTTCATCAAAAGACACAATTTGGAGAGTATAAAGGCAATTTACAGAATTAGAAAATATTTAAAATACTGAATATAATTAGCAAAGGACTTGTATCATGAACAATTAAAAAAAAAGACTTCTACAAATCAAGAAGGAAAAGACAATAACTCTAACAGACAATGAGCAAGAGACCAGAAGAGGATATCCAAATTACCAATAAATGTATGAAGAGGCTCTCAATGTTATTAAAATAAGAGAAGCACAAATTAAAGTCACCATGCTATATCTGGACACATTCATCAGAAAGGGTAAAATCAGAGAGATTGACAACACTAAGTTTTTGGCAATGATGTGTGGCAAGTAGACCTTTCACATGCAGCTGATAGAAGCATAAAAAGGTACAACCACTTAAGAAAAAGTATGTGTAGCTTTCTAGTACAGCTAAAAATACAGTACAGCTAGATATGTATATACATATTTACATATGTATCCACAGAAATGCCATGGAAAAATTGTTGCCATAAGTTGTTCACAGTTGTTTCATTATTACCTTTTAATGCCTTAAGGATCTGTAGTGATGTCCCCTCTTCGATTTCTGATACCTTCTCTCCTTTTTCTCTCTCTCTTTTCTGTTTCTCTCTCTCTCTCTCAATATTTCACAGCAACTGCTTTACTATAAGCTTCTCCAAAATTCCTTGTGTCTTACCTCGTTTGTCTCTGGCTTAGCTCTTTATTATACAGACCCAGGTAGCTTCTGCCTTGTTCAGTGTTCCTTTTTCTCTGCTTCCCAGATTCTTCATAATCATGAAAGTTTCCGGGTTTTACCCTGCAAGTAGGAAACCTCATCCTTAGAAATCAGGGAATTACAAAAATTCACAATTGAACATTTCTTTATCCTGTTTTATATTTAGACTAACATGGCAAATTTTCCTAATAAAATTAATGTATGGAAAGAGTAACAACTGAAAACAGCCATCAAACAACCTTTAAACTTTTCGACAAATTTGGGAAGTAGAATCTACAGAAAGTAAAAAAAAAAGGTCATGGAAATTTTAATGGGGAACGTGACTTTTTTTGGTGGCAGATGAGCAGAATGCAGGACTTTATAGAGTAAAGAAGAAGAAAGAACCCAGTATTAGATAAATGAAGAAAAACATTTTCTTTTCCAGTTTTTCCTGCGCAAAGCTTTTTCTTACCTCCAAATGCTTAAAAAGAGTCTTGTGAAGGGAGAGAATAGCAATAATTTTTCATGGTTTAGCTGGCTTTGTTTGCTTTGTTTGTAGCCTAATTACTCAGAAGGGAGAATGAAATTTTGTTTAAGTGACAGGTATATCATGTTAAACTATAAAGTCATCAAAATAAAGGGTTAGAACATAGAGATGATCAAAGAAAGTTTGCATTTAAAGTGTTTATTTTTATTTTCTATAAACTGTTTTAGTAACACAATTTTTTAAAAAGTACTTTGGTTTTTCTCTTTCATTGCAGTTCTTATTTTCTTATAATAGCTTAGCAATACTCAGGATTTCTAAATCACGAAGCTTCTTTTGATAGCACAGCATAGTAATTCCCCTTCATTAATACTGAGTCTTAATTATTTGCAACATTCACATATGACACTTTCAGCATGTTTCTGTTCATTCATGACTCATTCTATCAGGTCAAGTATGAGTCTAAAAACCACTAGAATTGAGCCATAGTAGAAATTCAATAACAATAACTTCCCCCAGAAATGGAAATAGGCACATAGAGGTTACGTTACAAGCCTAGAAGAAGTTGTGTATTGGTGGAGAGAAGAGAATTAAAATATGCACTCAAAGTAATGATTATGGTGTGATAACATGACACCTAATCTCCCACAGAGGGGAAAAAACATTAAATGCCTTCATATTACTATAGTGCTCATGATTAACAGCTTTCGATATGAATGTTCTCCGATAGCAAGTTAAGCAATTTAAAGCTAGAGTAATTTTGGAGGAAGATCTCAATGGAAAACTCTGGCAAAGTCCCAAGAGTGCTTTATATTATTTTGTATGGTACAATAATTCAGAAAAAAACTTAATAATCTCGGGGTTGGATTTGAATAATTTTAATTTGTTTTAATTTACAAAGCAAAAATGAATGTGTACATAAACATTCTGGGTAAATAAGCTCTTCTAAAACTGTTAATGCTATTAACATTATATATTGCATCTGTTAGCATAATAAAACTTTGGATTCATTTTTATGATCCAATATATGAGATCATTTATTTAGTCATTACCGAAGAATTTATTGTATAGCAACTATGGCAAAGTTTTTGTTTGAGGAAGTGAATGTAAAGATTTATAAAATACATTTTATGCTCTCAGGAGTCATAGTCTATTATATTGGTTTGCAATTTTGTAGTCATTAGTGCTGTTTACTATTATTCTAGACAAATAGTAGGATAGAACTTCTGAGATTCCTTGGAGTTAGGCATGGACTTGCGACTTGCTCTCACTAATAAAATGTAAGATGGAGTGTCTTGTGCTACTTGTATGTGAGGACTGTTCCTTTACTCATATATATATATATATATATATATATATATATATATATATATATATGCACTTTAAGTTCTGGGTTACATGTGCAGAACGTGCAGTTTTGTTACATAGGTATACATGTGCCCTGGTGGTTTGCTGCACCCATTAACCCGTCACCCACATTAGGTATTTCTCCTAATGTTATTCCTCCCCTGACACCCCACCTCCTGACAGGCCTCAGTGTGTGATGTTCCCCTCCCTGTTTCCATGTGTTCCCACTGTTCAACTCCCACTTATGAGTGAGAATATGTGGTGTTTGGTTTTATGATCTTGTGATAGTTTGCTGAGAATGAGGGTTTCCAGCTTCATCCATGTCCCTGCAAAGGAGATGAACTCATCCTTTTTTATGGCTGCATAGTATTCCATGGTGTGTATGTGCCACATTTTCTTAATCTAGTCTATCATTGATGGGAATCTGGGTTGATTCCAAGTCTTTGCTATTATGAATAGTGCCACAATAAACATACATGTGCATGTGTGTTTATAGTAGAATGGTTTATAATCCTTTGGGTATATGTTCAGTAATGGGATTGCTGGGTCAAATGGTATTTCCAATTATAGATCCTTCAGGAACCACCACACTGTCTACCACAATGGTTAAACTAATTTACACTCCCACCAACAGTGTAAAAGCGTTCCTATTTTTCCACAACAGCATCTGTTTTTTCCTAACTTTATAATGATCGCCATTCTAACTGGTGTGAGATGGTATCTCATTGTGGTTTTGGATTTGCATTTCTCTAATGACAAGTGATGGTGAACATTTTTTCACATGTCAGTTGGCTACATAAATGTCTGCTTTTGAGAAGTGTCTGTTCATATCCTTTGCCCATTTTTTGATGGGGTTGTTTGATTATTGCTTGTAAATTTCTTTAAGTTCTTTGTAGATTCTGGATATTAGCCCTTTGTCAGATGGATAGATTGCAAAATTTTTCTCCCATTCTGTAGGTTGCCTGTTCTCTCTGATAATAGTTTCTTGTGCTATGCAGAAGCTCTTTAGTTTAATTAGATCCCATTTGTCAATTTTGACTTTTGTTGCCATTGCTTTTGGTGTTTTAGACATGAAGTCTTTGACCATGCCTATGTCCTGAATGGTATTGCCCAGGTTTTCTTCTAGGATTTTTATGGTCCTAGGACTTACGTTTAAGTCTTTGATCCATCTTGAGTTGATTTTTGTAAAAGGTGTAAGGAAGGGGTCCAGTTGGCTGAATAGGAACAGCACCGGTCTGCAGCTCCTTTACTAAACATGGCAACAACTAAAGTTCCAAATAGGAGTGCTTTATCAGCCTGGATCCTTGATTAGAACAATACAAAGCATGGCCCTCTGACAACCTAATCTAATCCTTGATTAGAACAATATCAAGCAGAGCCCTCTGCCATCCCAAGATGGCCATGAAATCCAAGCAAGAGATAAATTAACATTCGCTACTTTCAGGTTTAAATTTTATTGCTGCAGTTGCTATTATAACATAGTTCAGTATATTATTATTTTTTTCTTTTTTAACTAAGTTGTTATACTATAAGTAGCCTCCTCTGTCGTCATGGTGGTTCTATCTATGAAATAATCTGTGTTCTAGTTTCTATGGACATGGATCAGGGCCATGTCCATACACACACAAGGTGCAGAAAGAGAAGGCATAGGCTTCCTGCTAGGGAGGAAGTGGAGCTATGTGTGTAGATGACAATCTGGGAACAGTATGCAACTAGGAGAGATTGAATATGGAACAAGGCACAAAACAAACAGATGTCAAAGGGAGGCTGAGTCACCAGAGAAAACCAAGGACTGAAGAAGAGATTGAAAATGTATTATAATTACAGGAGAGATTCAGGACTCCAAGAGCTAAGAGGATGAGGAGGGAGAGGATGTAGGATCAGACAGAATGAGGAGAAGCTAGTGCAAGTTGTGCACAGAAGTATTAACATCTGTATCAGCTAACATTTATTGAGCATTTAATTACATGCCAGATATTTTGCTCAGCATGTGCCATATTAACCTCATTTAACCCTTATAACAACCTTATGAGTTAAGCACTATTATTTCTCACACTAAAAATAAATAAATTAAAAATCAGAAAATTTGAATAATTCATCTAAAATCACAGAACTTTTAAGAGAAGCTAGGTTTCAAATCATTTTAGTGTTTTTCCTGAGTCAGTACTAATAACTGCAAGTGTTATATTTTCTAAATTAAAATGACAAGAAAGAAATCAAAGGACTTTCTATTACTAGGAATTGCAGAAAGACCTCATATTTTTTTTTGTATTTGCTCAGATTTCAGGTTTCAAGACTCTCATTCTCATTTCATATTTCTCTATCTAATTTAGTTCCCACCAGCTTCTTATACCAATTCTACCTTTACTGGTATTTGTGTAAGACAATGGTATTCAAAGAATCATTGTTCTTGAGGAATTGTTGACTTGTACTTGCTCAGCCTGAACTGCAGAATCTGATTGTAACAATCAGGTAGAGGCCATGACATTTCATGGTCTTTTATAACTCAGAAAGTTATAAAGGAAGGAAAAATAATAATAGTTGCTGAAAAGGCTAAATTTACTCTTGAAAAGAGAAGTATATACATTTTTACCTCTTTATTTATAAATAATAATTATTTTTTAAATTGGCATTTCTGATATTGGTGCCTGTTTTTGTTGCTGCTACACTTGATTTTCCTCAACTACTCTACTACAGTATAGTTTGTTGCCTTGTGTATCTGTAAGTCCATTTCTGCTTCAGGTAGTTATTACAGAGCCTTACATTTTATACATTTTCTTACTTTTAATATTAAGCATTTGATAATTGACTTCTTCAGAAGATATTGTTTTCAAATATACTCTCATTCCTCAGCAGCACAAATAGTTGATAGTAAGCCATTGAATGCCTACAATATATGGAGTACCCATGCAAAATATTTGCTGCAGCTACCTAGGTTTCTCTTTTTTGTTTGGTTTCTTGTTTTTGTCTTTGAATCTATGTTTCAGCAATAGGAAGGGTCATAAGACTTGTTTAGTTTGACATGTAGAAAAGAAAACCTTCTGAGTTGATATAAAAAGTTAGTAATTCTCTCTTGAACCCAGGAGGCAGAGGTTGCAGTGAGCCGAGATCACACCACTGCACTCCAATCTGGGCTACAGAGCGAGACTCAGTCAAAAAACAACAAAAAAAGTTAATGATTCTATATTATTTTCAAATTTCACTGGTAATCTGTTTTTCACCTTAAGATTTCACAACCCAAAATTTTGCTATGTAATTATCTCAGGACAAGTATGTGTTTGGAATACAGCAGCACCGCTTTGAACAGGGATGGTAAATGAGATCCATTTACCAAGCCAGTGTTAGTAATTTGGGAGTGACTACCTTGCCCAGCCTCAAAAGAAAATGAGTACAAAAATCCATTACATGTCTGCCACAGTTGTAGGACGGAAAATGACAACTTGGATGCACTGCCATTTCTCAAATACATTTGGGATATGGTAATATTAATTTATAAAGAAAATACCTTTCTCTTAATTTCTGTTTTAAACCTTTTTTAAAATTGTTTAAAAGAACTTTAAAGTTATATATAATATATCCTCATTTTGAAATATACAACTTGATATTTTAATTTAACCACAAAAACAAGGAAAGGAAAAAAGCCCTACACCTATAAGAAAAACAGAAGTAAAGGAAATGTTGGGTGAAGTGCCTACATCAATCTCTGGCCAGACTTACTGCTATTAATAGAGAAGTTCTAAGCCAATTATCATCCTGGTATAGGAAGCTAACTCTCGATCCATTTGTCAGCCGCAGCGGAATGTGCTGCACAAAATTCTCCGATTCTTCCATGTTCCAAAAAAAGAAAAGAAAAAAAAATCCGTTTGATGAGCACAAGAAAAATCCTTGCCAACAACAGTAACAAAGGGTGTTATCTGTCTTCTACTACTATTCATTGATTCTTATGATATCAGATGAATCATGTCATTTTGCTCAAGTATAATCTCTTCATTTCCTATTTTTATTCTTGGTGACATTCTGATTAGCACTGATGCTAGCTCTTGCAATGGAATGATATATTTATTACAACAATCAATATGAAATAAGTAGGATAAGCCCATGCAGAGTTGATAGTCTGTGGCAGGCTCTCAGATGGAAATCATTAATATAATTAATATGAAATCAATTTTAGAAACACACTATAATTTCCTGTGTAAGTCTTTTAATTATTTTTTTTTCTTTTGGAATAAAAACAACTAAATATTCACTAATTATCTCATTTCATAAATGATGTTCTCATTGAACTCATCAATAAGTTCTCAGATGATAAATATCAAATGATCTTAGTGAGAAACAAACAACTGTTCAGTATTGGAAGCATCCCAAAAAAGTATTTTATGTGATTTAAAACTGACAATATTCTTTCACCAAAGAACAAAGATTAGACACTTTTCTTTAGGAAATTGTTTGCTTTAAAAGTACTTAATTTTTAGTGCATGTTTCATTTACCTTTGACCATAAATATAATCCAATTTGGGTTCGAATACTAGGCATGTGACCTAGGGTTGTTCCTTAACCTTTCTGAGTCTTAGGTTTTGCATTCATCAATGTGTATCTCGTAAGGTTTTTGTGAGAATCAAAATAATGCAAGAATATAAAATAATAGAATATAGCTGGATAATTGACTGCATAGATAAGCTCTGTAAATGAATAGACCTGGCTTTGACCCAGAATTCATCACTTAATAACTGTATAGACTGGATGTGTACCTTGTATAAAAAACCTTAGTTTTTTCACTGGCAAAGTGAGAATAATAATAGTACCTACCAACAGGGTATGATGTTTCTGAAATAATGCATGCAAAATACTTAGTGTGGTGCCATGTGCACAGTCTTTGAATCAATGCTTGCTATTAACAGTTTTGTTGTAGAAATCAAAATAGAATAGACTTTCTTTTTTTAATTTTTAAATTCCTTCTTCATCATTCATCTGCCTTGGGAATGCCCAGGTTCAGCCCAAGATTTATTTCTTTCCATTATTTCTTCATACTGATCTTACAAAGCTCCACTTTCTTGTCATCAATTTTCTTTTCAGTTGTCAGTGACCTCCCCACCTCTCACCCCCATATGTCTAATACATTATATCTAAGCTCTAGGAGATAAAGTTTTGCATTGTCCCAGTGGCTTTGGTAGCATCCTGCATATAGTATGTAAAGAATAAGGCTTTAGAGAAACATAATTTACTTTAAGCCTTAACTTTTTTCCATTTGTAAGAGAAAAATACTAATAATACATATGATGTAGGTTTCTGAACTGTTGGAATAAGATAACAAAGCTCTTAACACAGTATTTGGTGCATTGCATGTGTTTGGCAAAAGGTAGCTAATTTTACTCTTACTCCTTAACAACTCCAATTTTAGAAAGTGTCTCCTTATATTTCTTCAAGGTTTGCCTACCTCTTTTACCTGCTCTTTGGTTTTACAGTTATCATGTGAAGCAACATTGAGTTTTTTATGTCCCTTTAGATTGAACAGTTCTTCAAAAGGTGATTTCCTAATAAAAATGTTGAAATAGCACAATATATTTGGTTTTAACTATGGAACAAAATACTATTTGTATCAAATAAAATAGAATTTCCTCTCCAATAATTTATGACATTTTATAAAGATAAATATATACCTCCCAGTCAAGATTACTGATCAGAAATAATTTGAAGGAAATCACTAATGAAAAAATATAGGAGAATGGGAGAAGTCTGTCTAGAGTAGGAATATTATTCTCATGTGTGTTACCTCTGCAGTTCAACACTTTGTCCAGGCAGTTATATTTAGAACCACTATGTCTAGCAAATATAGCAAAAGCAGGGAAGATTTCTTAAAATATAATGCAAGCAGCATGTACCAACTGTCATTTTTTCAATTTCCACAAATTCCTGAAATAAACCTTAAAATATACAGAAAACACCACAGCATGAAATTATTCACAAGGATTTGTTTTCATAGTTCCTTTAGAGAACAGGAGGATGTTTTAACAGTTGGGAATCCCCAGAGATCCACTATGTGTTTTCTTTGCATCTTCATATCAAAAGGCCAGAAGTAGGGTAAACCAAGTAAGGTACCTACAGTGTGAAATTTAAGGGACAATTGCTCTCATCTTGTTTCTTGGAGTTATACTGATATACTGATTATCATTGATGGGCATTTATAAAATCTAACTGGTAGACTTGTTATTTTCTTCTTTGGAGGCAATTTATTATCATACAAATTTGTATGTCCCTCAAGCATCATTTGCACATATGTTCCTTGAGGCAAAACCAACAGAGCTCCCCTGAAAAATGCTGCCTCCCTTCTCCCCTTCGTGCTACAATTCTGCATATTTTTTACATTCCTATTAGGATCTGGTGACTTTGAAGTTAAACAAAATAATACTAGTGACGATAAATACGTTTTTAATAGTTTATGCTAGCCACTCTTTAAAACACTATGCATATCTTAACATTTAATTTTCTTAACAACGCTATGCATTAAGAAAAATTATCACCCCCATTTCAATATGTTGCATGTAGGATAAGTAACTGCCCAAGGTCATGTGTCCACAAGGGGCAGGTTTGTTATGGCATCTGTGCTCTGAATCATGAAGCTATATTGCCTCTTAAAATACACCTTTAAAAAAATCGGTTGTTGTATTACACTAAAGCATTATGGTTTATCTTAGTATTTTTTAGCTGCATGTTTATGCTATATATTGAGTTTTATTGATGTTACCGTTGTTTGCTGCTGTTGCTTTTTTCTCTTTTTTCTTTTCCTCCATTCGAGTGATTATTCCACCCTTGCTTGGATCTCATGGCTAAGATATTTTAACTATATTGAAGTGAATCCAAGGTCAGGAGTTTCAACCTTGTTTTTTAATGGGTATTATTGCTTGAAACCTCAAGAGGTCAGAAGCAAGCACTTCCCAGAAATCACTCATACATAATAGTCCAGACAGGGTAGTTTAAACATAGAGTTTACAAATACTTGTACTACGAAATTTTTAACTATATCTATACCAGTGAAGCATGAAAAATTATATATTTCTGTGGAAACTTTTCTCTGATTTTATTTATGGGAAAAGTCCAAAAACAAGAAAGTTCTTAAGATTAATTTGGAATTTTTCCAAATTTTCTTTAAGGCAAGAGAAAGTATTACAAGGAAATTAAACAACTCATAAAATGTCTACCCGTGTAGTTATTCATTCATTCAACCAACTTTTATTTATATAAACAGGTAAAGTTTTAAATTTTGACTCATTAATTAGTAGCTATGTGACCTTGGGCAAGTGGCTTAGTGATTTAAGTTTTTATAAGATAGAAATATAAAATAAAGCTGCAGGTGCAAAGGTGCACATGAACCCCAGTGGCCCCAGCCCCCTCCCCCCTCCAGCACTGTCACTGCTCCTGTCAATGCCCACAAAGAGGCTGGCAGCCCCTGGCCCACCAGTGCCCTACCCTAGCCGATGAGTGTACAACCCACCACGCTGCCACTGTTGTTGATGTAAGCAAACAAACATGGATCTCACTGCCACTGCCCAGTGAAGTGTTTTGGCTTTTACAACCCATCGTAGTGCTGTGGCCAACAGTCTTGGAACACCTAGATCCTGCCAGCACAGCAGGTTCCCAACCTTGAGGGGTCAGAGAACCAAGCTTGGGGACCAATACCAGCTCCACAGAGTTAGAAAGGTTCCCAACCATGAGGGGCCAGAGAACAAAGCCAGGGGACCAATACCACCTCCCCAGAGTTAGAACATGCAGTCCTGCAGAAAATATGATTCTATACTTAGAAAACTTCATAGTGTCTGCCCAAAACATCCCTGATCTGATAGAAAACTTCACCAAAGTTTCAGAATAAACGATATCAATGTACAAAAATCAGTAGCATTCCTGTATAACAACATCAAGCTGAGAGCCAATCAGTAATGTAATCCCATTAACAATGGCCACAAAAAGAATAAAATACCTATCAATATAACTAACAAGGGAGGTGAAATAGCTCTACAATGAGAATTAAAGAACATTACTCAAAGAGGTCAGAGATGACACAAACAAATAGAAAAACATCGTATGATCATGGATAGAAAGAATCAATATTGTTAAAATGGCCATACTTACTAAAGCAATTTACAGATTTAATGTGATTCCTATTAAACTAACAATAGCATTATTCACATAACTAGAAAAGTCCATTTTAAAATTGATATGAAACCAAAAATGAACCCAAATAGCAAAGGCAACCCTAAGGAAAAAGAACAACACTGGAAGCATCACATTACCTGACTTCAAACTGTACTATAAAGCTATAGTAACCAAAACAGCATGGTAGTGGTACAAAAGCAGATACATAGACCAATAGAACAGAATAGAGAGCCCAGAAATGATGTCACACACCTACAACCATCCTGATCTTTGACAATGTGGACAAAACAAGCAATGGGGAAAGTACTCCCTATTCAATAAATGGTTCTGGGATAACTGGCTAGCCATATGCAGAAAATTGAAATGGAACCCCATTCTTTCACTATATACCAAAATCAATGCAAGAGGTATATGGAACCTAAAACTATAAAATCCCTGGAAGATAACCTAGGAAATACCATTCTAGAAATAGGACATTCTGGGAATGTAAATTAGTTCAGCCATTGTGGAAAGCAGTATGGCAATTTCTCAAGGAATTTAAAACAGAATTACCATTCAACCCAGAAATCCCATAATCAGTTTTCAAAAGAAGACATACATGTGGTCAACAAGCATATGAAAAATTCTCACTATCACTAATCATTAGAAAAATGCAAATCAAAACCATGATGAGATACCACCTCACATCAGTCAGAATGGCTATTAATAAAAACTAAAAAAATAACAGATGCTGGCGAGGTTGCAGAGAAAAGGGAATGCATGCATATACACTGCTTGTGGGAATGTAAATTAATTCAGCCATTGTGGAAAACAGTTTGGCAATTTCTCACAGAACTTAAAACAGGATTACCTTTCGAGCCAACAATCCCATTATGAAGAATATACCCCAAGGAATATAAATCATTCTACTTTAAAGACACATGCATGCGTATGTTTATTGCAGTTGTATTCACAATAGCAAAGATATGGAATCAACTTAAATGCCCATCAATGTTAGACTGGATAAAGAAAATGTGGTACATATACACCATGTAATACTACACAGCCATAAAAAAGAATGAGATCATGTTCTTTTTTTTTATTATACTTTAAATTTTAGGGTACATGTGCACAACGTGCAGGTTTGTTACATATGTATACATGTGCCATGTTGGTGTGCTGCACCCAATGACTCATCATTTAACATTAGGTATATCTCCTAATGCTATCCCTCCCCCCTCCCCCCACCCCACAACAGGACCCAGTGTGTGATGTTCCCCTTCCTGTGTCCATGTGTTCTCATTGTTCAACTCCCACCTATGAGTGAGAACATGCGGTGTTTGGTTTTTTGTCCTTGCGATAGTTTGCTGAGAATGATGGTTTCCAGCTTCATCCATGTCCCTACAAAGGACATGAACTCATCAGGTTTTATGGCTGCATTGTATTCCATGGTGTATATGTGCCACATTTTCTTAATCCAGTCTATCGTTGTTGGACATTTGGATTGGTTCCAAGTCTTTGCTATTGTGAATAGTGCTGCAATAAACATACGTGTGCATGTGTCTTTATAGCAGCATGTTTTATAATCCTTTGGGTATATAGCCAGTAATGGGATGAGATCATGTTCTCTGCAGCAACATGGATGGAGCTGGAGGCCACTATCCAAAGCAAACTGACACAGGAACAGAAAACTAATCATCACATATCCTCCCTTATAAGTGGCAAACTAAACACTGAGTACATATGAACACAAAGAAGAAACAAAAGACACCAGTGACTACTTGAAGGTGGAGGATGGGAGGAGGGTGAGGATTGAAAAACTACGTATCAGGTACTATGCTTATTCCCTGGGTGATGAAATAATCTCTACATCAAACCCTCATGACATGTAGTTTACCCAGGTAACAAACCTGCACATGTACCCCTGAACCCAAAATAAAAGTTAAAAAAAGTAATAGTACAAAATAAAATAAAATAGAAATAGCATATCTCTTAAAACATAACCTGGGTCACTAAATGAGGAAATGTATAAAAAGTACATAGTACATTACTAAAATTGGTCTTCTCATTTATTGTGGCTTTCTCTCTTAATCTACCCAGAATTCTACTGCCACATGAATAACTTAATAGTATTAAATCCATCCATCTTTGTGGTAGTCATTTATTGTTGCATAACAAATAATGTTCAAATTTGTCACCCTAAAAACAACAAACATTTATTATTCACATAGTTTCTGAGAGTCAGCAATCTGGGAGAAATTTTGCAGGGCAGTTATAGTTCAGGGTCTCTCATGTGGTTGCAATCAAGGTGTTAAGTGGGCTATAGTGTCTGAGACTTGATTGCAGCTAGAAGATGTGCTTTCAATCTTAGCTGCATGGCTGTTGGCAGGAGGCTTATGTTCTTTATCATGTGTGCCTCTCCATAGGGTTTATGACATGGCTTCCCAAGTGTGAGGGATGAGCAAGGGAGACAAAAAAATGAAAGAGAGCAAGATTGAAATCATAGTATGTTTTATAATCTAATCTTGGAAGGGGTATATATCACTTCTGCCATATTCAGTTAGTTACAAAGACAAAATTGTAGTACACTATGAGGTTGGGGAGGGTACCATAAAATTGTATGTATACCAGTAAGCTAGAATCATTGTGGGCTATCTCGGAGGCTGGTTACCACAATCATCATTCCCCCATTAACAAAACTTTAAAAGCCTCTCTTGTTTTTGTGAATTAAGTTTGAATTATTTATTCTGATTTCCCACTACTTTGAGAAAGATACTTGAAACCAATTATCTTGCCTTCCCACACCCATATCTGGTCTTGTTTCCTATGGTTCTGCTCTATAAGATGCATGCTAGTTCCTAAGCAAATCACAACACGCACTCCATGCTTTTGCTTACTCCTTTTCTGTCAAACTGCCTATCATCTTTCCCCAGAAACTGAAACTCTCCCCACTCATTCCAAGTCCAGTCTAAATCCTATCCTCTCCACAATAACTTTCTTATTCTTAAATGGATTGTTTTGCTCTTTTGGAATTCCAAGTGTCATTTCTATAAACTTCTTCAAGGGCAATTATCTTATGCTGTATGATATTCCAGTATTAAATTATTCTCCAGTCTTCATGAATGGATGAGGTGAGGTGAGGTGAAGTTATAAAACCTCATCTTTGCTTCCCCTGCAGTGTCAAGCACAGTGTGTAGTAGTTGTCAATTCCCTTTACTTTTACCAACAGATGGACAGGTAGCAGGCTCATTTGGTTAATTTTAATGGTGTCAATTTGGTTATAATTTTGAATGGCAATCATCACATTTCATTGTGAATAATTGTGTTAAAATGTCTTGTAATGGTATGCACTTAGGCAGAAGGCAATGAAGAGCAAAGAATAGCATTAATTCTCTTTATTCTACATTGCATATTTTCTAAGTATAAATATCAGTAGGACAATTTGACATATTAAAAAATTTCCCTCATATTTAGGACTACTCTGTTAGAAGTAGAGTTCAGTTTCATAGTTTTTTTTAAGGTAAACGTAAAAACAAAAACCGGTACAACTTTTGGGGATTTTCAGTTTTATTAATACCATAAGGTGGTGGGCATGCCAGGGCAAAGTGATCAGATATTGCTTTCTTGTTTTCCACTTTCTTATTTTAGTGCTTTTTATAATATAATAAGCATAAAATAGACCATCACATATCATTTTATACTTATCTCTGGAGAAAAAAAATAGTACTAGGCAAATGCTGTATTTCACATGCTGCTTTAAGTTTAAAGAATTTGGCATGCAGTTTCAGACAAAATGTAATAAAGATATGATTATAGAGAAAGGTAGCTTAGATATTTCAAAATATAACACAGTTTACATTACTGAAGCCTATGTTATTATTGGATCTTAAAAGGATAAAAGATTTTTTGTATCTAAAGGAGATATATTTTCTTTATTCAATAACATGTTTATAAGCTAGTCTGCTTCCTGCATTGTAGCATTAAAAACAATCTAGGAAGTTCTTTCTCTACCTAACTCAGATACTTGGCAATTTTTCCAAGTATATTCTGTATGTGACTGTTTTCCTGCCTCTGTATCCTGAAACAGACTAAAAAGTGTTTTTCAGATTATCCCTAAACTGGCATTGAACCTCAACAAATCACTGAGGTGTCTGTCTCTATCCTTCCTGTATTAATAAGAGCACCTGCTCTGACCCAGACATTCTGCATATATTGTTTCATTTAATTTTTCTCATAATACGAGCATGTGCCAGGATTATAACTCCTATATCTGAGACAACAATACTGACTTTCATAAAAGACTACTAAAATTAAAAATAATTTTCCAATTAGACAAGGGGAGAGATACTGATGATGAACTAATGAAGATACTTACGAAGAAGTGAAGGAAAACAGCTATTTCTTTACCTATATTTAATTTCAATTGGTTCTGGAACTTTTATGTTGAAGCTGAACCTTTTGCCAGGAATTTAAGAAACAAAACACACTTGTATTTCACTATTAGATATCTATGCACTTCAGGTAACCACATCAAAAGTCTTACGCCATATGAAAGGACCAGATATAATAGAATACAATCAAAATTTAATTTTATATTCCATAGTCACAGATCTTTAGCTCCAGTCTGATGGATCCCTTTAATGAACATTTTACTTCCTATACTCCATCTCAGTATCTGCTTCTGAAAATTCAATTAGTCAAAATGGGTAACGAGCCAATGATTACAGAACTGACTTGTCCAGCTCTTAGCAAGTACTTCCCTTTAATCAGTGTGAAAAACAGATCTCTAAAACCTCCCCTATTATTGAGATATAATTAACATACTGTATAGTTAACTCATTTCTAGTGTTCAATTCTATGATTTTCAGTAAATTCATAGAACCACAATCAATTCACAGAATTACAATCAATTTTAGATCAGTGCCATCATCCCAAAAGAAACTTCGGACTCTTTAGTTATCATTCCCCTACTTCCCCCATCCCCAACTCCTGGGCAATCATGAATCTACTTTCTATATAAGATTGACCTCTTCTGGACTTTTCATATATATGAAATAATACAGTAACACAGTCTTTTGTGACTGGCTTCTTTCACTAAGCATAATGTTTTATACAGTCATCCAAGTTAAGCATGGTTCTTCATTCATTTTTATTGCTGAGCAATATTTCATTGTATGGATGGATACACCCCATTTTTTAATCCATTCATCAGTTGATTAACATTTGGGGTGTTTCTACTTTCTGGCTATTATGAATAATGATGCTATGAATTTGTACAAGTTTTGTGTGAATGTATTTTTTCATTTCTTTGGGGAATATATTAGTTGGTGCAAAAGCAATTGTGGTTTTGCCATTACTTTTAATGGTAGAAACCACAATTACTTTTGCACCAACTTAATACATAGGCGTGAAATTGCTAGGTCATATAGCAACTCTGTGTTTAACTTTTTGGGGAACTGCCAGGCCGTTTTCCACAGCAACTAAGCCATTTTACATTCCCACTAGCAGAAGATGAGGGTTTCAATTTCTCTACATCAACAGCAACTTTTTCTACAGCAACTGTGTCATTTAACATCCCCACTAGCAGTGTATGAGGGTTTCAATTTCTCTACATCCTCATCAATGCTTGCTATTTTCTGTCTTTTTGATTATGACATCTTAGTGGATATGAAGTGGTATCTCATTGTGGTTTATATTTTCATGACACTGATCGCTACTGATGTTGACCATCTTTTCATGTGTCTAATGGTTTATATATATATATATATATATATATATATATATATATATATATAAAGGTCTCTATATTTATAACTCTGTACATATATAGATCTTCTTTGGGCAAATGTCTGTTCAAATTGCTTGCCCATTTTTAATTGGCTTGTATTTTATTTCAAGTTTTCTATTTTCCTAACCACTAGATTACTGGGGATAAATTGTCCTTTTATTATTGAGTTGTATGGACCATTTGTATATTCTAGATGCTTTTCTAACATACATGATTTGTAAACATTTTCACCCTTCTGTGGGTTGTCTTTACTTCCTTGAGGGTGTCCTTTGAAGTATAAAACTTTTTAATTTTGTTGATGGCCAAGATACCTATTATTTTTTCTTGTCACTTGTGGTTTTGGTGCCCTGTCTAGGAAACCATTGCCTAATCCAATGTCAGGAAGATTAATGTCTATGTTTTCTTCTATGAATTTTTATAGTTTTGGTTCTCACCATGGTCTTTGATCCATTTTGAGTTAATTTGTGTATATTTTGTAAAGTAGGAGTCCAACTTCATTCTTTTCCTTGTGTATATCTATTTGTTCCACTGCTGATTACTGAAAAGATTGCTGTTTCCCTGTGGAATTGTCTTGGCATCTTTTTGAAAGGTCCCTGGTTCTTACTGAATATTTTTTCCTGGGCCATGGTGTTATCACTGGGAAGCTTACCTTAAAAAAAAAAAAAAAGGAAAAAAAAGAAATCAGTCCATGTTCGGTTCTACCATTTTTATAGCCGGCTTTCTATTCTATTCTTGCTATCTCCCCCTTTACCTGAGTCACAGCAGTGGGTCATATCACTCTCTGATGTTTCAGTCTTTCTGGGTGCATGTTCTATCTCCACATACTAGTACCTGGGAAAGGTCAAGGCCAATTCTTTCTTTCTTTCTTTCTTTCTTTCTTTCTTTCTTTCTTTCTTTCTTTCTTTCTTTCTTTCTTTCTTTCCTTCTTTCTTTCTTTTTTCTTTCTTTCTTTCTTTCTTTCTTTCTCTTTCTTTCTTTCTTTCTTTCTTTCTTTCTTTCTTTCTTTCTTTCTTTCTTTTCTTTTCTTTTCTTTTCTTTCTTTCTGGGTGCATGTTCTATCTCCACATACTAGTACCTGGGGAAGGTCAAGGCCAATTCTTTCTTTCTTTCTTTCTTTCTTTCTTTCTTTCTTTCTTTCTTTCTTTCTTTCTTTCTTTCTGTCTTTTTCTTTCTTTCTTTATTTCTTTCATGAGGAAATTGAGTCATATACAGAACAATTTGTTCAAGGTCACACAGCCTAGTAGTGGAAACCTATTAGTGAAACTCATAATGGTCTTATGAGTTTCAGCCCCTTGGGGTTTCTGTATTCACTGTATCTAAGTAATGACACTACTCAGGCTGAGAAAGTGGTCTAAATTTTAATGTTCAAAAATGTGGGAGGCTAATATTTTACTTTTTAATTCCAAAAGAGGGTCTAATAAAACTCTATTGCCTTAAAAATTAAAAATAAAACCACCCCTATGATCTCTACCTCCAGATAGTCACACCCTTGTGTAACTCCCCACCCTTTGAGGTTGGGCTGAACCTAGCGGATTTCTTTAACCATAGAACATGGAAAGGTTGATGCAATATCACTTCTATCATTAGGTTACAAAGGCGTATCATCTCATATTGCTAGCAAACTCGTTTGCCTTCATGACTTCATACAAGCTGTCATGTTGGAGAAAACTGCCTGGCAAGGAATTTTGGTCAGCCTTTATCTAAGAGCCAGCTAAGAACTGAGGACCTCAGTCCAACAGCCAGCAATAAATTAAATACTGCCAATGACCATTTGAGCTTGGAAATGAATCCTTTCCCAGATAAGCTTTGGAGTCACTATCGTGCAGCCACCACCTCAATTTAAGCATGTGAGAAATCCTAAGGAAGAAGATCCATACATTTCCAGATGCCTGATCCAAAGAAACTATGAGAAAGTAAATGTTTGTTTTACAGCTCTAAGTTCTGTGGAACTTTTGAAAACAGCAGTATATAACTAACAGAGATGTGCTGTTAGGAGACAGTTTGCTTTTAATTATTAGACAATTATTTGTATATGAATTAATGTATACATCAATTATGTTGTGGATTCAATAAATATTTTATTAAGTTTTTGTAAGCCAAATGGTACAAAAGGAGAAAATTACAGAGTCCTGGAATATCTCTTTTTCTGTATATTTTATATATATATATATATATATATATATATATATATATATATATATGAATGATTTAGATATATATATAAATTGTTATATATAATTATATATATAATTAAATAACATATTGTTATCATGATAGTGTTGACATAATTATGCCAGAGTATATGACAGTATATGAGACTGTGTGTGCATGTGTGTGCATGTCTGAGTTTGTGTATTTGTGTTGATAGGTATGGTAGAGAATAAGTCTACTGTCATTGTTGATTTTGGCTTTTTATTATCAGATGTTATTCATAGACAATAGGAAAATTCTTGTTATATCAAAGATCTCATTGTACTTGGATGAGCTAATCTAAATTTTGTTGTGAATTCCTACACTGTAAAAGGAGAATTCTACTGCTTCCTCTGTCCCTTGTAGGCTTCACAGAACAAAGTAAAATATGTTTTTGATTACAGGAAGGGTTCTTCCACCACAATATTCAAATGTCATGAATAAACAAAATCTAAGAATAAAGCTAATTTAGTATAATTAAGCCACCTGGCCAACAGTTGGGAGTGTATCTGTCAAATATTTTTCTGCAATAATTAAAAGGTCATACACTGAGTAGGAGAAGTCCCCTGCCACATACACACACATTATAGCAATAGATATATATCACTTTAAAATGATGCAGATATGATGGCAAACTCTGTTTTTGGACAACCTATCCATTTCACAGTCCTGAGTGAAAAGGAGGATGAGTGGTCATCACAGCCCCTTATGGCCAAAGGGCTTCATGTTGGTGATTCTGGCTGAGCTCCGAAACATTCTGATTAAGATTGAGGAGCCCATTTGGGAGCACTTCACTATGCCAGTAGGGATAAATGAAATGCAAAACACTGATTTGTGGCCTACTAAGGTGAAAGATGCTTCAAAGAGCAAAGCTAAGGTATTGAAGCATACTGTACAGCATAGTTTCTTGAAGAAGAAAGTTAGATTGAATGTGCCTCCATTTGTCAAAAGAAAGAACAAAAGGAGAAAGTTACAGAGTCCTGGAATCTCACTCTCTCTCTCTATATATAAAGAGAGATATATATATTTTTTCCAAATTATTTGTTATCACGATAATATTGACATAATTATACCAGTAAGGCATATTATTTTTCTTTCTGTATAAGAAAAATAATATAGTCAAGTTATTGTCCATAAAATATGCCCTGGAAGGATACATAGGTGGTCTAAATTTAAAAATAATATCATGAAAAAGTATCTACATAATCCAAGATAAAACTTTAAAATAAGGAGCAATGCCTACTGTTTTAGTATTTGTGTATATTTTAACTACAAGAAAAAATAAATATATAATAGAAAATACTGTACATGTTCATTATTTTCATTTGCTTAAGACTATGAATTCAAGAATAAATGTTTTTTCTATAAGGTTCTTGCTACAAATTAACTCTTCGGATCTTAGTATTTAATATAGGTAGGATTTTCACTATTAAATTATTCAGATGAATTTAAATTATAGTTGCTGAAAGCTGATTTTTAAAATTTGTATTTTTAGAAATATTCTTCGTTGAGTTTTTGGTAAAGAAATTCATTATTACTAAGTATTAAATATTTTCTTAGAGATAAAATTAAACATATAATAGCAGCTATTTTATGAGCTAAAAAGCACAGAAACACGTTAAAATAACATAAATGTTATTTATGTTATGAACATTTACTTATGAACATAAATGTTCATATGAGATGGTAGACAGTCCAGGCACCACATTGATACTTTGGGACAGTATATTTTTGCTTGGATTGATGATTTCTAAAATATTTATTCTAATGGATTGACTTCTGATATTAGTACTACACCTCCACTAGGTATTTCCTTGTCAGTAAAATAGATGATGCAGCACAATTAGTTTTTTGGTTATATTCTACATACATAGTTGGTCTTTGCCAGTCTTCTTATTCTACCTTGCCTAAGTGTGTCTCGGGAACAGGTCAATAGACATTATTTATAGGACCTATTTCTTATTCTTATTTTGAAATATTTCTTTTAGATAGTATTGTTCCACATGTGCTATTTGACAAAATTTGAAATTAAACGTAAATCTTAAAACATAATATAACTTATTCCTACTAGTCTATCTTATCACCACACTTGGGAATTTATTGTTCCCTGTGCTTCCAAATTAATTAATGTATTTTAAGGAATTTTAATTGTGAGATAAGAAACCTTCACATTTGGAGAGGTGACTGTTGTGCTTTTGGGGAGTATATGTGATCTTCTTCGAACAGGTTAAGCAAAAATACTTAAGTATAAATAGGGGGACCATATGTCCTTGTTTGTTTGTTTTCACCTGTTAACCCAGTACAGTTGTTACATGTATTCTAGTTCACACCCAAGTGCATTTTTTTTTAAGACAAACTGCATAGTCATCCTACAATAAATCAAACTGATGACAGGGTGAGACTCACTGTCTCCTATTCAAGTAACATAAAGGAGAAAGTGGTTTTGTAACCAAATACTTAGAAAGTTATTTGTATATGAATGAATTTATACATTGATTCCATTGTGGAGTCAATAAATATTTTATTAAGTCTTTATAAGCCAAGCACTAGGCCAGGCATTTGTTGGTTAGTACCAACACACTTTCTACAGGGAAAGATGGCAGTCTCAGTATAGATTTTACATCTCATTTGAATACCTCTATAAAGACAGAGAGGACATTTAAATATCAGAATGAAAACCAAATAGAAACATCTACAACAGAGCAAGATGTCCAGATATCTCTACTATTTCCAAAACACAAATAAAAATATAAAATACAAAGGGCAACAAACAGGCTGGTACCTGAGTCTGCTCAAGATAAATAAGAGGAAACAGCAGGGATTCTGGGGTTCCTGAGATGTGGATGATTCCAAATTACCAATAAGGCAATCACTAGAAGGTTGGATGGGCCAATCTGAAAAAATCAGCTGAAACTAGAGAGATGAAAATATTTGTCATCTCTGATAACAAATGATTCCAACAAGACACACGGTAATACTGAAGGCTAGGGTAGTTCTCACTTTTTAACTCTCTAAACTTACCTACTAAAGTTCCCTTCCAGTTTAGGGTCAAAACTGAAGAGAAATTGTCAAGAATGGAATCAAAATTGAGTGTACAGGTGGGAAAGATGGTGGAAACAGAAGTTGCAAATAAAAGCAGGGAAATGGGACAGAGTCAGGAAATCTCAAAAACAAGATACCATTGTTTTGTTTGTTTGTTTATTTGTTTTATTTTACAATAAAACAATGGAAGAGGGATCTACCTCTAATAGGAAAGTTACTCTAAATCACATATTCTTCTAAACATTCAGGAAAATTCATTACAAAAAATTAAGCAGCACAAAAGTCAAATACAATACCAGATCATTACAAGAAAAAATAATATGAAAAAAAAAGCATGGCAGAAAAGACATGATCAGAGTAAACCCCAAAACTATAATTTTTATTTCAAAACAAACTAAAGACACATTGAAAATAAAGGTAACACGTAGAAGCTAACATATATCAAAATTAGAAGACACACACATCTGAAGTGATATAGCTCGGGAAATAATTAGAAGAGAAAAATACATCATTTCATAAACAAACTCTAAAACACAAGAAACACTTGAGTGAATAAACAACAGCTAATGCCTTAAGAAAAACAGAAGGTTATAAAGTAGACCGAAAGTAAAATAAAATAAACAAAAAGTTTTGTTAAAACACATTTAAAAGAAAGTGATAAAAATTAGATTGGAGAAAAGATACCCAACATATGGATAATAGGAGTCTCTGAAACACAAAAGCAATTTCACAAAATAGAACAAACTATAACTAAACAAAAACTTAAAAGCTTCCTAACAGTATATAAAACTATATATAGAATGATATGAAACTACATGTAGAATGATCATATCATATACAGTACTTGAAAATATCAAAACAGAAAGCCAATACTCACTGTAATATAAGCTATTGGAGTTTCAATTATTTTTCTGGATGACTAGCCAAATATAAAAACCAGCTAGTTATTTACAAGGGGAAGAAAATTAAATTATCATTAACTTTCTTGGTAGCAGAGGTTCAGGTCAGAAGATCTTGGAATTAATATTTAAAACATTCAAAGGAAAGAAATATAATAAAGCCACACTGAGGTCAGTGGCAGACAATTCTGGAAAGAGAGACCACAGTTTCTCCAAACACAAATACAGGAACACATATGCATGTGCACATATACTCATAAACAAATATGCATACACAAAGACATATATGCACACACATGTACAAACACACACAGTATAAAGAGTTAACAGGGTATCTTAATGATTTAAAAGTTTTTTGTTTGGGTACAGAACAACCTGGCTATTTTTAAAAAACAAAACCCAAATACCACTTTTAATCTTTATGTATATAATCCATATATCAATTTACACAAATAATTTAAACTCTAAGAATAACCTATTGGAAAAAATTGGAACAATTTAATATTCAAAAAGGATGATGATAAAAATTTTTGTAACCCACCAAAGAGGTTTAAATGAGTGAATTCACAATAATATATTTTTTAAATGACAGTAGTCATTTCTTATTTGCAAAGGACATGTTCCAAGATGCCTGAAATTGTGGATAGTATCAAACCTCATATATACTCCTTTTGCATATGCCCAAATACTTGTGATAAAACTTAATGCATAAATTAGGCATAAAGACAAACAATAACAACAATAAAACAGGACAGTCACAGCAGTATGCCAACATTACTCTTGCACTTTGGGGCCATTATTGAGCAAAATAAAAGCTACATGAACACAAGCACTGTGATACCACAACAGCTTACCTGATAAGTAAGAGGGTTACTATGTAACTAAAGGAGTAGTAGCATATACAGCCTAGATATGCTGGGTGAAGAGATGATTTGCATCTCAGTGGGCCTGAGTAGGATGGTGCTAGATTTCATTCCACTACTCAGAACAACACACAATTTAAAACTTATGAATTGTTTATTTCTGGAATTTTGCATTTAATATTTTCAGACATGGCTGACCAGGTAACTGAGACCGCAGAAAGTGAAATCTCAGATGAAGGGGATTATTATAATTTCAAAGATAATTAAGAACAATTCTTTATCTAGAAAACCTGTACCTGAGAGATAAAGCTCTTCCCTTTTTATATGAATTTGGTACCACTGGATAATCAAATAGCAGATTAGCAGAATTGTTCCTTTACATTTCCTAATAAGTAAAAAGAGATAGCAAAGAGTTTCTCCTTGACCTGACTCGAGCCAGGCTCCTCTGAGCCATTTCTTGACTAACCTTCAGTCTTGGCCTATAAAGACTAGAAGAAAACACGAACGTAGTTTCTAACAGCTCATGGCCACAACTCTAGGATGACCCTAGTCTTCCTCAAAGGCTGGGAAAAAAAAAATAAAGTTTATTCCAATTAGTACCTGAAGATTGGGCCCCTGGCTCCCAGGCTCTGGGGTTTAAGGTGGTAGAAACTGAACATCAATAAGTGCCAGTTAGCAAATCCAGATGAATTTCACATAGATCAATGCCCACTTCCTGCTTTGGCTTTTAACAGTGCTTAACATTCCTGACTCTATTGAGCACTTCTCTTTCTCCCACCTCCTTATTCCTTCATTCTATCTTTAAAATGCCCAGTCACATGTATAAAAATCAAAGTTGAATTCAGGTCATGCTGGACTCTTTACTGCAATAACATATTACTGAATAAAATTTGTTCTTACTATTTAACTGAACTCCAATATTGTTTATCTCTGAAAGACTTAGAATATCACTATTCTGAAAATCCATAGGAAATAATGGATGTAGGTATGACACTTCAACAACAGCTAACAACAAAAAAAGAGAGAGCAGACTTATTAGATTTATCTTGATAAAAGAATGCAATAGTCTGGCCACATTTATGCTTTTAGCTCCCAATTTGCAGAGAACACAGAAGCTGTTTTTCTGTAAACTTATATAGATCAAATGCTCTGGGTTCTTTAACAGATAAAATGTAAGGGAAAATAATGGTTGAGGGGAGATGTATAAAATAAAGGGGCTTAAAAGATAATAAACCATGAAATAAATACAAGGTAGTGGTGACTTTGAAAGTCAGATGATGGTTATTTATGGAAGGAGGCAGGGCTTATACTTGGGATGTAGCTACTTGAAGTTTCGTTGGTGTCTGGTGGAGTTCTGTTTCTACTGGGTGGTGGCTACAAGAATGACTACACATTTTAATAATCATTAAGCTATAAATTTGTTTTTTGTGATTTTCTGTATCTCTGTTTTGTATTATGTTCAAAAATAAAAATTAACATTATATTCTGCCCTACGACATTAAAAATATTTATGTATATAACTTATCTCTTTTAAATGTCTATCAGTGCCTGGCTGACATTTCATGATAGATAAATGGAACCAATAATGTAATATTAATAATATCGATAATCATGAACATTTACTTATTATTCTATATTCCTGGTACAGTGGCCTTCCTCACTCCCACAACTCCCAAAGCTAGGTATGTTCTTTCACGCGAAAAAGCTTGTAACCACAAATCTTATATCCTCTATCACTTTCCAGCCAAGCAAGAAGTGCTAAAATCTATTCTCTGATTCTTAAGTTTAGAAAGACTATAACTTTTTGTTTGAATACACCACTACTCACTGTCTCTCACCTCCTAGCCTGCCAAGTGTTTTTAGGCAAAATGTTACAACCACAAGTATAAACTGGTCCAGTTCCTTTCTTAAGGCTCCATCTCCCTCCAGTTTCTGCCTGCTTTAAGTTTCTCTCCAGTTCCTTCATATTGTTGGTCTCTTTTTTAACATCTTTTCCAGATTACATAATTTTTATCTGAGTGATGATTATTTCAATAGGAGCTACTCTTAGAAGAAACAAAAACATTATGGCTGAGTAATTTATCTGTTATTATTCACGTATTTTGATGTTATTTAAATACCAGTTGTCACTACACTCTTGTTAAGAGAATAGTTCTGAAGAATAAACAACGCTTTTACTCCACTGAGAACATTTCTGTAGGGAAAAATGATGTCAGTAATTTTGATGAATGGGATTATTACATAGTTGTAGATCCATCCAGAATGTTTGCTTGCTTGGTCATTTCCAACAGACCAATCAATAATTACTTTGATTTAATTGAGAAATAATACTATTAGAAATAATTAAATGCACTTTTAACCAGAAAAATTGTGTATCATTTTCCATACTAAAAATAGAGACTTCAGAATATTATGAATTATACTGTCTAAAACAAAGAATTTACATATTAAAGTGACAAAAAACTGCTTTTGTGCTAATTGCTTCACTTTGTGTTTGCCCAAATGTATTACACCTTTATTTATTTATTTTTACTGACTGATTGGTTGAGACGGAGTTTCACTCTTGTTGCTCAGGCTAGAGTGCAATGGCACGGTCTTGGTTCACTGCAACCTTCGCCTCCTGGGTTCAACTGATTCTCCTGCCTCAGCCTCCCAAGTAGCTGGGATTGCAGGTGCCCACCACCACACCTGGCTAATTTTTGTAGTTTTAGTAGAGATGAGGTTTCACCATGTTGGCAAGGCTAGTCTCTAACTCCTGACCTCAGGTGATCCACCCCCCTCAGCCTCCCAAAGTGCTGGGATTACAGGCATGAGCCACTGTGCCCGGCCATATTACCTTTATGATACAATGAATTATACTTCTTGTCTTTCCCTTATGTCCTTCTTTGGTCAAAAAATATACCAAATGGGATGAAATTTTTACTTTGAATCAAAGCACATTGTGTTTGTATTTTTAAACTTATCTCCCATAATTTCTGATAAATTTTGCTTTGTTCTTTGAATTTAATTATCACTAATCCTTAATATAACAGGCCATTCATATCATGAAAGGTCCAAAAATGAATACTGTCTAGAGTCAGATTTGCCAGACACCCAAAAGAGATGTAGAGTAAAAAAACTGATAAAATATCAGAATTTAGTTTTCAGCAGGATTTGACAAGTCATTGTTAGGTGCTCATCCAAATGCATGACCTTTTTTTCTTTTTTTCTGGGAACACAGAAAGGTTATATTTCCAGCTTGTTTTATAGTCAAATTTTAGACTTTATCTGGGGGTTCCAAAAATATATAGGCAAATATTTTCTAAGATTCTTTCAAGCTTGGCCCCTAAAATATCTCACATAATTCTTAAGATCTTTTTTATATTTTCTCATCAAAATGCAGAGATGCATGTCTTCAATGATGGAGCTACTAGAAGATGAAAGAGCCCTTTCCGTCTGATTATGGAATGGCTATACAGAAAAATTTCCCTACCCTCAAAAACCACCATCCATGCATTAAATCTCTGTTATGAGAATACATGAACCTTTTTATGTTATGCCACAAAGAGAGTAATGATTAATATAGTTTCACACCCAAGCCTAATATATCCTGATCAGTACAAGGAAAGTACCTTGGCTATGTGCCAAATCTAGGAGGTGAAATAGTATGATCACTGGGAAAGGGATTCCCAAAAGTATGATCTCTGAAGATTAACTTTACTATTTTTTTTTTGCTTTTAATGATCATTTTATGTCTTTTTATTTTGAATTTCTGTATATCTTTTAAAAGGTCACAGTTGAGGCTGTCACATGCTAACTTGGTGAACTGAGTTTTAAAAAGGTTAGTTCATTTTCATAAATCTGCATTTCCAGGCATAGACAGAATATCAAAAATGTTTCTGTTCTCAATCCCTTAGGTGACCAGCTAAGTTCAGTCAAACTCAGTGTTTCTAGAGTCCTGTTCTCTATAGACGTAAGCTTTTTAGCATAGGTTGGTGTTATTAGCATTTCTACACAGCAAATTACCCCAAATTTAGTTGGCTAGAAAAACAAACAAATAACAAAGCAAAACAAACAAATGAACAAAAGCTCATTGCGTATTTGTTTATGGGTATGCTGGTTAGAAATTTAGAAATGATACAACAGGAGATCCTTATCTCTGCCCCATGATTCTTCTGCTGAAAATGTTCAAAACCTAGAAGTTTCTTGATCACTCAAGGCTGGACACGTGTGAGGATTTATTCATTCTTATGCCTGGCACCAAGACTAGGAGGACTCAAAGACCAGGACTGCCAACCAGAGAACCTACAGATGACCTCTCCATGTGGACTGGCTTTCTCACAGTATGGTGGCTTCGCATTAGATGGGCTTCTTAGGCAGTGGTTCAGGACTTCAAGTATGAATTTTCCAGCAAATAAAGTGAAAGATAAATCAACTATTATGACCTAGCCAACCATTGTCACTCATGCCAGGTTCTTTTGGTTACAAATAAATCATAGGCCACCTAGATTTAGGGAGATTGACATTGACCTCCATCTCTCAAAGGGAAAAATATGAAGAAACTTGTGACCATTTGTTTTAAAGTCATCATGGTGAGTACCCCATGGCTTCTTAAAGCGTAGGAATCACCTGAATTTATATGTAAAATATTTTATGTATATGTACTTTCATTTTGAATGGGTCTAAAATTTTCATCTTAGAAATTATATTAGAATAATCAAATCTCATGCATTATTTGTGTGGCTGCATATGCAGGTATCACATTAGTAAATTGGGGAATTTTACTCACCCTTATTTGGTACATGAAACATTTAGTGTGGTTTTTTGCAAAGGCCTGCCATCATGTGGAGGGCTAAACTGGCTGCAAGTTAAAATGTTAAATGAATGTAAGGGGCATCTTCAGAGAATGCACTCCTCAGAAAACTACCCAAAGATGCTAGGATATAAGCTGTCTATGAAAGTTATTTAAATATAACTGGAATAACCTTTTTTAAAATTTTTATCTAGGGCTGTAGTGATGTTGAAATAACCCAGAGACAATTTTTCTTTATCAGTCAGGAGCTCATTCTTGACAAAAACACTCCTCCCAGACTAAAATACTGGTAACTTTTACATTCCAACATATGTTTTAATTTTTTTGAAGATTTAGTGGTAGCTCTCTTTTTATCTGACTTTTAAAAAGCAACTACAATACATTTAGATATCTTGTATATTTTTAACAAGGTTTGTTTGATTTTTAAAAATTATCTTTGACTAAAACACAGAGGATGCCAGACAATAGATAATGAATAGTTCTCTGCAGTTATCATATTCATAATTTAGCAGTAATATTTATTTCTACTTGATTGGGATGGGATATGTGAATGTTCAGACAGAAAGAGAACATGGTGTGTTTTAATAAATGGATTGTGTCTGTGAGGCCATTCACCTGTTGCTTACCTCTCACACTGATTGCCTTCTTTTTTTAAGCCTACTGACTTTTCTATTTTTAAAGTAAAGTGGGATGCCTACATTTGGGTTTGAAAATTTAGAAAACAAGCTTCTAATAAAGGAGTGACAGAAGTACTTTCTGGGTACCCATATCACATTTATAACCTTAACTGTTTAGGTATATTCCTTTCTAGGCTTTAGGATTAAGAATGTACTTAGAGAACTAAGGCATTGAGTTGACAAGGAAAGGGAGGATTGCACAGGTAAACAGGAGATGGACAAAGAATGCTCTAGATAGAGTGAACGGGATAGATCAGGCAAGAAAGTAGGAGAGACAGCTTGTTTGGATTTATATGGAAAACGTCAGGAAAATAATTATCAACACAATGTAGTGGTTGAGATCATATTACTGAATTTCTCGAATGTAGAGACACTATGTATTTTGGCTTCGGGAACTACACTATTAAAACTGTGTCTTATGCATATTAGCTTTGAATGAAGGTTTGCATTAAAATGAAGTGCAAGATAAATTTGCAGCCCATTTATGAGACTAAAATTTTTAAGAGTTGTTTCCTGTCTGGGAGATCTTGATAAAATATTGTCTCTGCAAATTACCCAAATACAAACTGAATTTAATTTATTTGAGACATATGTAAAAATAGTGATTTTCCTCTTCAATTAACAAAGGAAAAATGTCACAGCCTTTTTTAGGAAAAAATAGTACCACTATGTATGTATGTATGTAGTAAATTTCTGTTTAGCTACCCAAATAGCCAAGAAGAATAGTTAGAACTCATCTTTCTAAATAATCATATTATTACTAGCTTATAGAGAAGGGCTACTGGACTATTGCAAGTTCTCACAAAATCAGAGGGGAAAAAGCAATGGAATATTAATAGAAAATAAAATAATAAAACAGGAAGCAGAAAAGGGTATTCATTAAGAGATAGAAAGCTTTAAAAGCCAGTGTGTTACAAAGGAAGTCTTTAATTCATCTTGAGTTGAGTTCTGTATATGGTGAAAGCAAGCGGTCCAGTTTCAATCTTCTGTGTATGTCTAGACAGTTACCCCAGAAACATTTATTAAATAAGGAATACTTTCCCTACTGTTTGTGATTGTTGACCTTGTTGAAGATCAGATTATTGTAGGTGTGCAGCTTTATTTCTGGGTCTCTAAGTTGTTCCTTTGGTCTGTATGTCTGTTTTTGTACCAGTACCATGTTGTTTTGGTTACTATAGTGTTGTAGCATACTTTGAAGTTGGGTAGTGAGATGCCTCTGGCTTCATCCTTTGCTTATGGTTCTTTTGGTTGCTGGGCTGTCTCTTGGTTCTATATGAATTTTAAAATAGTTTTTTCCAATTCTGTGAGAAATGATTTTGGTAGTTTGATAAAAATAGCACTGAGTCTGTAAATTGTCTTTAACAACATTGATTTTAATGATATTGATTCTTCCTATCCTTGACCATTGAATGTTTTTCCAATTGTTTGTATCATCTCTGTTTTCTTTCAGCAGTGTTTTGTAATTTTCATTGTAGAGATGTTTTACCTCCCTGGTTAGCTATATTCCTAGGTATCTTATTCTTTATGTGACTATGGCAAATGGGATTGCATTCTTGATTTGGCTTCCAGTTTGGACATCATTGGTGTATAGAAATGCTACTGACATTTGTACATGGATTTCGTATCCTGAAACTTTACTGAATTTATCAGTTCTAGTAGCTTTTGGGCAGAGACTATGGCATTTTCTAAGTATGGAATCATATCATCTGGGAAGAGAGTTTGACTTCCTCTCTTCCAATTTGGATGCATTTTCTTTCTTTCTCTTGCCTGATTGCTCTGGCTAGGACTTCTAGCATCATCTTAAACAGGAGGATTGACAGCGGGCATCTTGTCTTGTTCCAGTTCTCAATGTGAATGCTTCCAGCTTTTGCCCATTCATTACAGTATTGGCTGTGAATCTGTCATTAACAGATGTTAATATTTTGAGGTATGTTCTTTTGATGCCTAGTTTGTTGAGGTTTTTTAACTGAAGATGTTGAGTTGTACTGAAAGCCTTTTCTGTGTCTATAGAGATTATTATGTGGTTTTTGTTTTTGGTTCTGTTTATGTGAGGAATCACATTTATTAACTTACCTATGTTGAAACAACCCTGACTTCCAGGAATAAAGCCTACTTGATCATGGTGAACTGCTGGATTTGCTTTGCTAGTATTTGATTGAGGACTTTTGCACCTATGTTCATTAGGAATACTGGCCTGCAGTTTTCTTTTTTTTTATTGTATCTCTGACAGGTTTTGGTGTTAGAATGATGCTGACATCATGGAATGACTTAGGGAGGACTGCTTCCTCTTTGATTTCTTGTAATAATTTCAGTAGGTTTGGCTTCTTTGCCATCCAGATTCTGAATTCTATGTCAGTCATTTCAGCCATTTCAGCTTTGTTAAGAATCATTCCTGGGGAGCTAGTGTGGTCATCTGGAGGAAAGAAGACACTCTATCTTTTAGAGTTGCTAGAGTTCTTGTGCTGGTTGTTTCTCATCTGTGTAGATTGATGTTCCTTTAATATTTAAGGCTGTTGTTTTTGAATTGGGGATTTTGCTTTTATATTATTTGATGCCCTTGAGGATTTGACTGTGGTATGGTTGGGTTTAGTTGATTGGCTTCATTTCGGGATGCTTTCAGTGGGCCAATGCTCAGCTCAGTACTCCTGGGCAATGTGCCTAGTGAGCTAGAAACAGGCCTGCAGCTTTTTCTTCTGGCCCTTTGAGGTTCAGTACCTGCAGCACTGCTGGGGCCAACGTGTTCCCAGTCTGCTGACAACAACATTTCAGTGGGGGCTCCTAGTAAATGTGTTCTAGTGAGGCGATGGAAGGCCCAGCTTGCGTGTGCACTGGTGGGGTGCTGGGGAGTCCACATACGCATGCACACCAGCGAGGTGGAAGGGGGAGGCTGCTGGTGGCTACATGCCAGCAAGGAAAGGCTGTGGGTGGGTGCGCACCAGCAGGTGGAGACTGTGGATGGGTGTGCACTGGCAGGGGTCTATCAACAAAAGCTCTCTGATGATTAGGTGAGATTTGCTGGTGAAAGAACTATAGATGTCAGTGGCCCCTAGCAAGTGTTTCAGTTGGGCAGCTGAGGCTGCACTATAAGTAGGTGCAGCCAGGCAGAGGCCCTGGGAGACGCCAGCAGACATTGGGGTGCTCAGATAAGACTGGCCCTATCCTACTGCCAAGACAGCCCTTCTCTGTCCAGATCTGGCAGCCAACAAAAGCTAGAGTTGCCTAGAGAAATATGGCGCATCTTCAGGTTTGGGTGCCCATGGCCATGCTCTGCCATGCTCCACTGCAGCCATTATGCCATGCCAAACCCTCCAGGCTCCAGGCAGGCTGGAGTTCTGTTTCTGCAAACTCTCCATTCAGTTCTCCCTGCCAACTCAGATGTCTTTTAGGGTCATGGGGTCTCCCACAGCTAGGATACTGGAGGTTCATGGTAGAGTTCACCACTCTATGCCTATTTCACTCACCCCTTTCCTACAAGCAACTCACAGCCAGGAACAAATCCTGGCACTCAACAACCCTGTGCAGGATTTCCAGTTTCCTCTCCTTTAAGCCCAGGGTTTGTGTCTTCCCTCTCTTCACTCTTTTTTTTTTTTTTTTTTTTTTTGAGACACAGCCTCGCTCTGTCGCCCAGGCTGGAGTGCAGTGGCGTGATCTCGGCTCACTGCAAGCTCGGCCTCCCAGGTTCACACCATTCTCCTGTCTCAGCCTCCCGAGTAGCTGGGACTACAGGTGCCCGCCACCATGCCCGGCTAATTTTTGTATTTTTAGTAGAGACGGGGTTTCACTGTGTTAACCAGGATGGTGTCGATCTCCTGAACTCGTGATCCGCCCACCTCGGCCTCCCAAAGTGCTGGGATTACAGGCCTGAGCCACCGTGACCGGCTCCTCTCTTCACTCTTAATGCCTCCTTTCTAAAGATCTGTTCAGTGTGTGTCAGTCTACTTGATGGTCTAGTGTCTTTAGGTGGGAGAAGCTGCTCGTCGCTGCATCTAGTTGACCATCTTGCTTGAATTTTCTTATTTATTTAATTACGTTTTTGAAGGGTGGAGGTTTTAATTATGAGAATATGAAATTTAACTTTTTTTTAAGATTGGTGCATTTTTGTGTCATAATTGGTGTTAACTTCAGGAATAGTTTTCACCTCCCATTGTTGGTTACATCCTTAACTGATTATAATAATATTGCTTGCTATTTTCTAGAATATTTCTTTTGATAAAAGGCCAGATTGCTTGACATGCATTGAACAGATCAATATGACGAGGTTGCTCCCTGCTGACATAAACTGACAGCTTCTCCAGCCAGGTGGTCTTCGAAGAGTAGCAGAGATACAATGAAGTATGGCTAACCAAATTCAAATTCATGAATATTTTATAACGTTTGATATGATGATATGAAGAGTGAGAATTTTTCATGTTAGTATAAGTAAATCTACTTACTTTGCTTTATTTTCCCCTTATTTTCCTCTTCTCTAGCCAAAGATAAATCTCTAAGAAAGGTAAACAAATGTATTTCTGCTTATGCAACCATAAAGGGATGCCTATCCCAGCATTGGAAAATCAATGAATTGAGAGTTAACTCTGATTGCCATGCTACCTTCATATATTCAACACTTGAATAATTATTGAGTGTCTCCCTTTTATCACCATGTGCAACTCTAATAGACTAGTGAGCAAAAAGCTATATAGTCATATAACTATAACATATATAACACAATTTGAGAATTGCTAGAACATATATGTGTATATATATATTTATGATAGTCCATAGACTGGAGTTTCTAATTAGTTGCTAAAAATATCCAACATTTTAAGCATGAGAAAATACACACACACACATATACACACGTAGGTATATACACACATGTATACACACATGTATATACATACCCCCCACGCATATATACATACACAATCTGTGTTCAGCAATTTACTTGAATCGTGTGTCATTTAATTCAGCCTTCTTCTATAGGTAATATTAGATTCAACCTTATTTTGTAAGAGAAGAAAGTAAGATACAAAGATTATAGCCTGGTCATGCATGTGCCAGAACTGGAATTAAAATTCAGGCTGCTTGTCCCTAAAGTTCACTTTCTTACATGGTATGTTAACATCTCCTAATACTCCTGGAGGACTCAGACCAGGCTTCTCAAGAGGTGACATGCTAGCTAATTATAAAATGACAATCTGAAGTATAATAAAAGAAATTCTAGACATATTGGATGACACAGAACACGACACACACAAAAATTAATGTGTTTGCAGAATTGATAAATTCTTGAGAGGCTATAATAATGTAGAGATAGAAAGAGAGCTTGCAGGAAGTACAGTTCTAATCATAGCCAGGAGATCGGCTTTGGAAAAATGTGTGTCTTCCCACTCCAACCTTTCTTCTTTTTTTCAGACGGCCTTGAGCTAACGTCTGTTAAGTTGAGGGAAAAAGTAGAATAGACAACAAATAAAATAGGATGAACTTCCAGTGTCTAAACTATGTCTAAAGGAGATGTTTGGCTTGGGTTCCTGAACACAGAAATGATTAAAGCAAAATAACTAGAAGAAGCCTACTAAGACTTGAGGGGATTTTATTTATAAATAAAACAAATCCTTATCCCTAAATTCTATGATTTCATTTCTAAATCAACTCCTAGGCCCCTAAACTTATGCTAGCAGAAAATTATCTGCAGATAATTCCTTACAATCCTGTATGAACACTTTAACACCTAAATAGGTATAGCTATTCTTACATTAGACTGTGGTAGTTTCTGTTTAAAGAGTCCCCAAATGAGTAGTTAAATATGATAAATATTTATTTTTATATGTAAAATGTAGGAGAAGTCAGCTCAATGGCCATCAGAGATGTGGGTTCCTATTTTGTTGCTCTCCCATTCTCAATATGTAGTTTTATTTTGTGGCCCAATAAGGCTCCCACCTTCAAATCTGCCTTTCAGCCAAAAGGCAGTGATTAATGAAAAGTAACAACATACTCTTTTTCTTAAGTGCATATAATTTGTATATTGATATATAATTTCTAAACATATTCCATTTGTTACAACATAGTCACAGAGCCACCTTACTGTAAAGAAGGCTCAAACAGTCTTCTTTTTCTTTTTCTTTTTTTTTTTTTTTAGATGAAGTCTAACTTGTCGTCCAGGCTGGAGTGCAGTGGTGTGATCTTCGCTCACTGCAACCTCCGCCTCCTAGTTTCAAGCAATTCTCCTGCCTCAGCCTCCCGAGTAGCTGGGATTACAGTCACCTGCCACCATGCCCGGCTAATTTTTGTATTTTTAGTAGAGACCGGGTTTCGCCATGTTGGTCAGGCTGGTCTCAAACTCCTGACCTCAAGTGATCTGCCTGTCACGGCCTCCCAAAGTGCTGAGATTACAGGCGTGCCGCGTCTGGCCTCTGCCTCTTTATCTCGGAGAACATATACCCAGTGAAACACATTTTTGTGTATGGAGTGGGAGATTTTTACGTGCTGTTTAAATGATGGGATTTTATAAATATGCATGTGATCTTAAGATAATAAAAAAGAAAAATGTAAACATTAGTCTAATCGCTTTTATACAATTTTAACATGTGGTTCAGACAACAGCCAAATGAAATTAAAAGGGAGGAGAAACAAGTGTGTATTGTAAATATAAACATTTTGATAATCTGATAATAAATTGTAGTAATCAATAAAAAGAATTCCAATATGATAGCCTGACAGAATAAGGAGCATAATACTTCTCCAGACAAGAAAGACAAATAGTGAATGACATAAATAATAACAGTAATAAAGGTAATAGTGTAAAAATAGTAGAAAAGTTATTAAAATAATAACTCATCCTCTGAGAACAAAATATATACCATATGCATAGCTATGCATATCACTTACCAGCATTATTTTATAATTTTAACAAACCTATAAAGTAGATGATACTATTTTCAACACATCTAATATTGAAGTTTGTGACTAGAGTGACAAATTCAAGGTCACAGAGGTAGTATATTACCAAGCCAGGCTATAACCCCACTTTTGTGTTACTTCTGAGTTAATACCACATTTTACTCTTAAAGTGTAGGAAAAAATTACCTCATTAATAACTTGACAAATCCAAATTAATGCAATTTATAAGACTGTAAAATGGATATTACCAGTAACACATAATGCAGCTATGGGTATTATAGACCAACTACCTCAATTACATATGATTATTTTTAAATTAATATTATTAAGTTGGAAATAATTTGTCAAAATAAATCCTAAATAATTTATAGTAGCAAGTTTTTCAAAGAACCAATTATTTAACAAAAAGAAAAGATATAAGTATAGAGAGCTACTTTCTAATATAGAGAGTATTAGGAAGATAAAAGATTCAAATTATAGTTACAAACTAACCAGTAGAACAAAAATGGAAATTATATTATTTTTAAAAACAAAAAATGCCATGAAATAGATAAAATGTAATAGCATACTTAAGTGAAAAAAATACTTAAAACTACAACATAAAATATTCAAGCATAACTAGGATATAACATGCCTATAATAATAATTAATGTAAATGGGCTGTACCAATGTATCAAAATAATAAGATAGTGGTTGGGCGCAGTGGCTCACACCTGTAATCTCCGCACTTTGGGAGGCTGAGGTGGGCAGATCACTTGAGGCCAGGAGTTCGAGACCAGTCTGGCCAATATGGTAAAACCCCATCTCTGCTAAAAATTCAAAATTAGCTAGGCGTGTTGGTGCTCATTTGTAATCCCAGCTACTCAGGAGGCTGAGACATGAGAATCACTTGAACTCAGGAGGCAGAGACTGCAGTGAGCTGAGATCTTGCCATTGCACTCCAGCCTTGGTGACAGAGTGATATTCCATCTCAAAATAATAATAGTAATAATAAGAAGATATTTATGTTAAATTTCAAGGTAAAAACTGATTTTATGCTATGTACACGTATGTGCTATATAACAATGTACTTTATATATCTATATGTATATAGATGCATGTATGTAATGAAAATAAATTAATTTTAGAAACATTCTGATACATTGGGGAAAAAACCTACACTCGAAAGAAGAAATCAATAATTTAGGAACTAAAAGTAATACAGAAATAACAGATAAATTTAAGGACTGATTCTTTGACATGGCCATGGAAATAGAAATGTCATTAAGTACATTAACAAAAAAAAGTTGAAAGTTGGAGAAGAGTCAATAAAGCAAAAAATAAAAAAATAAAGTAGTAAAAATAACCACGCACACATACAAAACTGGCATATTGTTTGCTCAACTCTATGCAGAAAATCAGAGTTCAAGTCACAATGATTTCTAGGTTATGATAATTAACAACACTGATCTTAAAAGAGGTAGAAAGAGTACTGATTATTAGAAAATAAATTAAAACAATAAAAATGATAATTCTGAATCTCCTGTCCAATCAGATTGCCATCCCAAGCCCTGATTTGTTGAAATGATAAACAGCAGATACAGCTTTAATAGAAATCATATGATGCATATATAAAGCTAAAGCCGTTTAATGATAAGAGAACCATACTTAATTGTTCTTTTTATATTAAAGTTGGAATACACATCTAAAATAGTTGTATAATGCTATTATTAATAAATATCTATTAACTTTGTTGTTGTTGTTTGTGTGCATGTTTTCCTGAGGTGATTGTTTTGGTAATTTGATTAATCTTGTACATCTGTCTTTCATTTTCCCTAATTACCCCTATAGTTACAGAAACATTACACACTGTTCAATTCTTTCTACTTAATAGTTCTCTACTGAATCATAGCTAAAGGAGAAATTGTTTCTGTATTACAAATAATGTTACAAAGTCCCTGGTCAATATATTTATATAAAGCAGTTATTTCATTAGAAAACATATTTAACTAACTGGAAGTTTCTCTGTCATCCACATTGTTCAACAGCTAATTATTACATATTGAATTTTTTTTTACTGCTCTTTTTCCACAATGATTAGTATCAAGTAGTTTCGACCTGAGAGAGACTTCAACATCATTTGATACAAGCTTATCCCTAGGGGAAACTACCTGAAAAGTATTCTTGACTAAGCACCATTCTATTTCATTTAGTTCCATCAATGATGAATAAAATATAATACCCAATGCAGCCATTTCTAGCATTGAATCCCTGAAATTATTCATTCCACATTGTTTCTGGTTCTGCTTTACAGAGGAATAATCCATTTATGCTAAATCTAATTCTAATTGTTCAAAAACAATTGTGCACCCCCTAAGGTTCATTACCTCAGGGATTACTTCTTTTGGTTTCTTAAAATGTTCTGTTGCCCCATTCTGCTCCCTGTCAGTGGGTCCCATCTTGCTTTGTTATAGAAGGATAAAGAAAAGTAATCCAACTTGTAGCCTTGTTGGTAGCAACAAAGCCAACTCATAAAGGCCCTTAGGATAATGAGGTTCTCTATTTATAAGCAAGGGACGTTTTTATGTGATAATTCTAATTTGTACCATATGGACTCATGAGTACTTGGTTTATAGACACTGCTCTTAGAAAACACCCCTGAGCTACCTAAGAAATTATTCACATGCAAGCTATTAACAGTCACCTTGATAGACATGTTAGTCCTTCCCTTTTTGAGTTTTTCCTTTCTTTAATGCACAACCCATTCCTAAATTCCTGAGTTGTTGTGAATTGGAGTATATTGATTTATTCAACTGTTGGTAATTTGTAGCATTGTTCTCTGTATTTTGGTTGCTTTTCTCAATACATTTTGAACCATGAGAAATATTACTTAATCCATGACAAAACATTTTATATCAACTAATTACATATACTACATTAAGATACATATTTTCTTTACAATACAAATTATATAATTTAAAATGTAATCGAATACAATGTATACATTTTAAATACAACCCATTACCCTATTTTATTATAATTAACTACTTCCAAAACGCTATTACCCAAGCCAATATAACTAAAATTTGCAATTTCAGCTCTCAGGCAAAGTTCACACTCTCCCAGGCGAATGGACTCCTATAGACCTTTCAGTATTAAATTAGATTCCGATATTGGCTTCACCACTTATTATAGAGATGGCCATGGAAAAATTAATTCCATAAAATGTTGACTAAGAATATGCACTGTTTGGATTAATGTTAATATTAAATATACCATATGTTAAAATGCCTAAAACAGCACTTGATTGAAATAAGTGCACAACTTATGATAGTTTTATGATAGTTTATCATTTTCCTGTTTAAGTAAAGCAAACGTCCTCCTTCTCCTCCTCTTCCTCCTCTACAACCATCTTTACCTTATTTTCCCCCTCCTCCTACTTCTTCTTTTTTTAACTGTTTAACCAAATATTCACCTACATGTAATTCTTTTAGTTTTCTTATATTTAAATATATTTCTTAGATTTTATCTACATTTATTTTGTATTTGGTCATCTATATTATAAGTGATAACTTTTTAATTTTTTTACATGATACATAATATTTATGCATACTTATAAGTACGCATGCTTATATATGATATTTTGTTACATGCATAGAATGTATAATCATCGAGTCAGAGTATTTGGGGTATCCATCACCTCCAGGGATTTCATCATTTCCATGTGTTGGGAACATTTCAAGTTCCCTCTTATAGCTATTTTGAAATATACAATACATTGTTGTTAACAATAGTCATCCTACTGTGTTATCGAACATTTGAAATTATTTCTTCTATCTAACAACATGTTTGTACCCACTAAATAACATCTCTTCATCACCCCCTCCACACACCCTTCCCAACCTCTGATATCTATCATTCACCTCTTTATCTTCATGAGATTAACTTTTTTAGCTCCCACATGTAAGTGGGATATCTAAATGTAATGATAGGCTTGGGAAGTTTTCAGGGATTATTTCATTGAATAACTTGTCTATGCCTTCCATGTTTGCTTTGCTTTTTGGGAAACCAAAACCTGTAACATTTGGCCACTTTATGGTGCCACATATATCCCATAGGCTATGTTCATATTTTCTTTCCTTTTTTTAAAAAAATTGTTAATGACTGGGTTATTTCAAAAGGCATGCCTTCAAATTCTGATATTTTCTTCTCTACTTGATTTAGTCTATTATTAATGCTTTTGAATATACTTTGTATTTCATTCAAGGAATTCTTCAGTTCCAGAAGTTCGGTTTGGTTCTTTTTTGTGTGTGTGATATCTATCTCTTTGGTAATTTTTCAATAACCTGAATTGTTTTTCTCATTTGTTTGTATTGTTTGTCCTTGTTCTCTTGTATCTCACTAAACTTTTTGAATATCATGATTCTGAATTCTCATTCTGAGATTTCATAAGGTTTATTTTCACTGAACCTTATCAATTTTCTTTATGCTGGAAAATTATTGTGTTCTTTGGAGGTGTCATATTTTCTTGCTTTTTAACTTTTTCTTGTGTCCTTATGTTGATATATGCATATCTGTTGTAACAATCGCTTCTTTCAATTTTCAGAACCTGCTTCATTGTGAAGCATTTTTCACTGAGGCTGTATGTACCATGTTGGCTGGTTAGGGCCCTTTGGCTTTGAGTCTGTGTATGTGCAGTAATGTAGTCTCTGCATGATTTCTTCAGCTGTAAAGAGCATCAGTGGTGTATGTGATGTATTCATCGCCTTATGTTATGGTTATTAGTGGAGGCTGTGGTGAAGTTTTCCTGGGGATGAGGATGCCAGATGGGCCAGTCATTGGGTCCCAGTGATGGCAGCAGCAGGTTGAATGTGACTTTCCTTGTGCTGTATGGTGGCATACACTGGCACAGTTGTAATACGATTAGGTGGGTCCCTCCTTGGACAGTAAGGAGGCTTGCAAGGGTGCCAGTAGTGGCAGTGTTGGGCTGGGCTGTTGAGTGGGTAGTTGGATTCTTGGGCAGTGGGCATGGTATAAAGGCTGTCAGTAGCAGTGGTGGGACAACCCTCTGGCTTCCATGCAATTCAAACTGATGTTAGTGGTGGCTGCAACAAGAGGATTAGGCCAGTATGCAGGCCCATATGTGGTACATTTGGGTTGGTTCCAGCTGTGGTGGTATTGCCAGGTTGGATGGGCTCAACCTTTTGGATCCAGGAGGATTTCTCATGTGCCAATGATGCTAGACATGGCTGGGCTATTCCCAGTCCCCCAGACAGCATGTGTGGGAACCAGTGTTGGGGAGCAAAACTGGGCCAGATGGATCAGTTTTCAGGCCTCCTTGCAGGTGCTACCCATGCTGTAGTTATGGGCATGGTAGTCCTAGGCTCCTGGTGAAATACTCAGGTTGGGAATGCAGTGGCTGTGCTTTTGTCCTGCTACTAGGAAGGGTGGAATAGCTTTTAGTGACAGCAGCCATAGGAATAGGCATAGGGTGCTTTGGTCCCAGATGGCAGCTGTGGGCAAAGTAGCCTGTCCTCAGGGTGCTTATAAATGTGTGGTGGCTACACTGCTGGGAGCAGCAGAGTCATTGCCAGTGGCTTGTACTTTGGCCTGAGTGGCAGTGGCCAGCAGTGGTGCCAGCTTAGGAGGATGATGTCAGTGGGACTCCAGGAATGTGGCGATTCAGAGGCTACTGGGCCCCAGGGCAGGATGCGGTATGGTAGGGGCTGGGCTCTCAAAATGGAAACCTGCTCTGGTGGCTTAGAGCTATAAAATTTTTCAAAAAATACATTATAACATTAGGCAAAGCCAGATATAACATTGTCTGAAACTGAGTATTAATTAATACTCAGTTTGCGTGAGACTGAGAATTTTTTGATTGCCACTTGAAAAATTAATTACAATTAACGAGTGTGCACTATACAGTCTTTGATCCTCTCATTAATGGCAATTAAGAATTCTACTGCCCTTTCTTACTTTGAGAAACCTTTAATTGCTAACTGTTCTGGGTGCTATATATTTTTTCTCTAAATTCTACCTGAAATATAAATACTTTTTAATTTAATTTATTATTTTACTTTATTGTAGAAAGATAGAATAAACCAGATTGCATTTCCAACATTCTGCTCAAAAATGTCTTTAGCTAAGTCAGCAACATTATTAGGTACAGTCGACCCTCTATATTTACAGGTTCCACATACATAGGTTCAACCAAACATGGAACAAAAATATTGAGAAAAAAAGTGGATGATTGTGTCTGCACTGAACATGTACAAATATTTTCTTTTCATTATTCCCTAAGCAATATAGTATAATAACTATTTACATAGCATTTTAATTGTGTTAGGTATTATAAGCAACCTAAAAATGATTTAAAGTATACGGAGGATATGCACAGATTATGCACAAATACTACACTATTTTATATAAGGGACTTCGCATCAGCAGGTTTTTGGTATCCACATGGTGGGGGATACCTTGAAACAATCTCCCATGGATACCAACACACTACTGTACCTTTTCTTATTTTCCACATCACCACAAATGAATGCCTTCCACTACTTGACAAGGGCTCCCTTTTCTCTAGAATTCCATAGTTACTTTCTACATTTTGCTTCAGACCTTTACCAACAGCCTCCTTAAGCTTCATTATGCTTCACTGAGGCTCAATCCAATAATCAGCACTCTATGTTTTACATTTTGTTTTGGCAGCAAAGTTCTTTCAGTTACCAAATTCTGTTCTATTTGTCAGTTCAAAGCAAACCACTCCAAAGTTTAGCATCATATATCAATAATTATTTTCTTATGCTCAAACATTTGGGGTCCAGGAATTTAGAGCACATTGGGGATGTCTTATCTCTGCTCCACAAAACTCAGCTGAAAAGACTCAATGAGTCTACCATGAATTGAACACCTTGGGGCTAGAATCATGTGAACATTTCTTCACACACATGTAAGGCATCTGTGCTGAAATAACACAAATGTTAGGCACAGTTGGGAGTTGGCCAGAGTGCCTTTGAGTGTTCTTTCCTTTGTGTGGAATTCCTCACAGCATGGTACTCTCAGGTTTACTCTGACTTCTTACATGAAGGCTAAAGGCTCTGAAAGCTAGTATTATCAGTAAACAAAGTGAAAACTTCCTGGCATTTTATTACCTAGCCTAGAAAATACATAGCATCGCTTTTGTCATATTCTATTGCATCAATCAGAAACCAGCCAGATGGAAGAGTAGGAATATAGATAGCTTTCAATGGGAGGAATATTGAAGAGTATGCACTCATATTTTTAAATTACTGGATTTGTAATATTAAGTTCTTAATTATCTGTGAAGTGGAGCCTCCTTTTATATGTTCATTGCCATCTGTGTTTCTTCTTTTGTAAAATGCCTCCTCAAGTTTTACCTATCTCTGTGGGTTGTAATGCCATTTCCTTACTGACTTAACACTCTGCTATTCATTTAGCACACAGAATATACGTATATTTTAATCTATCCAGACTATTTAGTTATTCTTATGAGAAGTTCAGTCCATCTAAACTTAGTCAAAAATTATTTAAGTTCAAGGTGAAATTCCTGGTTTTTCTCTCTGGAAGTGTTCAGGGGCTTCTTTTTATGCTTAATATTCTGTAATTTCTCAAATTTTTGATTGGGTAGGAGTTTTTGTCTTGATCATTTGAGGGACATATTCAGTCTGAAAACTCATGCACTTTAGTTTTAGTAATTTCATGTATTTTTGTTATGATTTTTACTTATATTTTCTGTTTTCCAAATAACACTTTTTAGTGTTACATTGAACCCTCTGAATTGATCTTTCATTTATATTTCTTATGATTTTCTACTTTTTAATGATACTGTTTTCTATTACTGTTTTTGAAATATTTTAATGCAATTTTTACAGTTTCTGGAAAGTTCTTTGTGTTCAGTTATTTTTTTCTTCTTAACACCCAATTCTTGCTTTATAGATTAAATATACATTCAGATGTTTCTGTGTATACAATTCAGTTTAGAGACTTTTTTCCACCAAGTTTTGTTGTTTGTTTGTGGAGAGAAAAAGATAGTTGACAACTCTATATTCAGTCTGGAGCTTTTTATTGTTTCAGCTTCACTAATGATGAGGGCTACCAACTGCCAGAAATTAGAAGACTTTGCACTTCTTTTTATCCAGCCAGGTATGCAGAAATTCTAGCATTTTAGTATGTATTTATGTGTGTGTGTATGTGTGTGGGTGTGTGTATATGTATGTATGTATGTGTGTATATATATATATATTCCTTTATATCTTCTATATATAGTTGTATTTACTTATTTTTATTTTTAATTTTTTTCCAACTTTTAAGTTCAGTGGTACATGTAAAGGATGTGCTGGTTTGTTACATAGGTAAACGTGTGCCATGGTGGTTTGTGCAGCCTCAAATTTAAATTTTAATTCCTACTCTGTTTATTAGCTAGCTATTGGCTGAGAAGACACTCTAGGTTTTTTTACTTGATCCTTTTTAATTATATTCTACTTAACATATACTCTAGGCTAAGCATTCCTCTGGACTGCTTTATTGGGTATCACTATTCTTTCTGCCTATCAGATATTTACCAAAATCTTACTCTATTGATGTTTCCCTTCCATTCTCTTCTGAAATGAAGATTATACTATTTTTATATATTTACTTTCATTTTAGTGGAATCTTAGAATAGAGGCACGATCATTTATTCACTCTTTAATCTATACTGAGACTTCAAAGTACTTTTTGACTGAGGAGCCCAAGATTCCCTGGGTGATACTGGGAAAAGAGCATACTGTTTTCACTGATATATAAAATCTTGGCAATGGGGAATAAAGTATGTGATGGAATACAGGGTAGGGATGTAAATATTTTGAGAACAGTATGGAGTGACCATGTCCTGGTAGCTTCCTGTCTCATCCCTGGGATTCAAATTGCATCTCTTCATAGTGGTACCTTTGATATGAAAGTACTGTCCTCACCAAATTTTCATAGTTGACATACAATATAATAGAAAATAAAAACTAAGCTTGTGCTTGATATAACTTACATGAATACTTTTGAATCCACTCTATTAACGGAATCCATGCAAGTGACAGAGATAGGCATTGAAACCATTGAACTCTTAGAGCCTACATGATCATGCTTTAGTGATGGCTAAAATGAGGATCTAAATCTATTGTATCATTACTTTACAATCAGAAATAAATGATAAAACTAAAGTATTTTATTAACTTGTTTCTGAGGTAATAGAAAAGGAATATGTATGATGGGGAAGAATGAATTGATTTGGACTGGTAAGGAAATGTGATTTTAAGAGAAATTTACACGCCTAATTAGTATGCAGGAAGCTGTGGTATGCAAAAAAGGCCTGAGATAAAATTAATGGCTTAAAAAATTCTGAGAGCTGAAACAGCCATGCACCATTATATTCAAAAACAAAATAAGCACGTGCTGAAACATTTCTTAATGTGAGGGAAAATCTTGATGTGTCGAGAATAGTAAAACATAAGAAACCATATTCTCAACTGATGGAAATGGAATATCTCGATTTATCAAATCGTGTAGAACTTTTCATAAGAAAAATATATTTTATTCAGAAATATGTACTTGGGACCAAATTGTATCACTTAATATTATTTAATATTTTAACTATGAGATTTTTCTAGGAGTTGACTTTAATCCTTAGTGTATCATTGATTACTAATTCTTGCTACAGTATGACGAGGGCAATGACATGTTTGAAAATTTAACCTTAAATTTTTGCTAATTCCAGTAGTAGCAAAATATTTATATACCCCTAAATAAATTTTGAAAAATCAAAGGAGTGATACAAAATAAGTGAATACATATAAAATGTTGATTGCATATGAAAGAAAGATGATTGTCTGAGAGAATATAATTTGTCAGGGCATTTTATTTGCAGGATGTAAAAAACAAATACAGCAAAACTCAGTGGTCATAAGCTAAAATGAAAAGCATTGATTCTCATAACTGAAACACATCAGACTATACAATAATGTGGGAAAGAGCATTTATTTTAGTTATGTTATTAACTAGCTATGTGACTTTGGACAAGTCACTTACTTTATCTTTACTTCAGTTTTCTTATATATAAAATTGGACAATAATATCTATCTCATAGAGTCCTTGTATTAGATACATTAATCTTTTAAAGTACATGAAAGAATGTTTAGCACATAGTATTTGCTATATGAGTATTATTTATTGTCAATAGTTTTCTTGTTAAGTATCTAGATTTAGAGCTACCCTCAGGCTCTACTGAACATAGTATGTAAAAAGTTTCTCATTGTTTTAACTTTCTCTTTTCTGTTTTGCACACATTTCTTGAAGGAGTATCTGAATAAATATTCTCGGTATTGTTCCACATCAAGATGGCCACTAGTAGCAGTGAGCTTATATCTTACTAGCTAAGCTACTTTTTCAGAAAATAAATATTGTTTTACTCAATAATTTCAACAAAATTTCTAGTTAAATTTCTCATTAGACTAGGTTAAATCATGAGCATATTACCAAATGAACCATATGGTTAATGGACAAGTTGAGACATATCATAACCACTGCCCATGATGATTAGGTCAATTGCTCTCACATGGTGTGAACTAGAAGTGAAAGGGAGGTAGAACTTCAAAAAAGATTGAAATGCTCCTACAGAAGACAAAGAAAATACTGAGGTCTCTATAATCACAGATATTTATGTTACAAGAAATCAATACAGATTAAAAATTAGTTAAGAAAATTGATTTACTAATAATCTTGATCTTTAGCCACATTTCTCTGCAATAAATTTGCTTTGATGCTGTGATAGAGATCAGTAAGCTACGTTTTCCAAGTTCCTTCAAGTGGGATCCTGCTAGGTTCTGCTATTGGGAGGTACTAGAGAAACATATAAAGGCAAGAGAATGGAAGAATATATCTCCTTTTCCTGTTTGTTTGCTGTCCTTGCTGATATTCTCCCAAGAACATCCCCTTGCCCTAGGAGCAGTAACTGTTTCAGTTTACCAATTTTTTCAGAGCCCCAGAAAGTGCCTCTTCAGAAGTAATAGCAGCAGTTGGAACATATCTCTTCCTCAGAGGTCTAGCCTCGGCTCAGGAAGGCTTTTACTCTGAGTTTACAAATTTTGATAACTCCAGTCTCTTCTCTTTGTTCATCTAAGCTTCTGAGGAGGTCCCTAAGTGGCCTGGAGACGGTAGTGATAGCTGCATCTTGCAGTCATTTTCTTTGCTTTCCACAGTGTTGTTACTTTTTTCTCCTATTTCCTATGTGGTCATTTTTTAAATATTAACTCATAGTCATAGTGTAGTATTAATACTTTATGAGAAATGAAATGTTTTATATAATGTAGCCATGGCCTACCAACAGCATATTTTCTTTTAAATTTGGCAACATATATTTTGCTTCAGTGGCTCTACATCCTTTTTTGTTGCCCAAATTAGTTTTTTGTATACAAAACAACCAATATTATCCTGGTCCCATTATTTCTTCTGATATCCATTGTCTTGTGATTTCTCCTGGAAAGTGAATTGTTTATCTGTGCATTTCACTCTGTGAAGTCATACAGGTCTATCTATTTAGAACTCCTGTGCTCCAATTTATTCCCTGTGTGAAACTGGGAAATTTATTAATCTGGGAATATGTTTCTTCATGTGCAAATCAGAGATAACACTTACCTCACAACATTGTTTAGAGCATTAAAAGAAATATGATATGATATCTGGCACACAGAATTTCCACTGTGAATTGAGCAATATCAGTTTTTCTCCCATTTAATGTGGAAACTGACTATATAAATAAAAAGGATAACAAAAAATGTATAAAAGAAGAAACAATAATATCAATAAAAATCATTATAAAATATATACACATTAAAATATTATCAAGAGTCCTATACAAATTGAGTTTTTCAAAAATAATAAGGATTGTAACTTTTATATTGAGGTAATGCAAGAAGCATTATCAAGGAGAATCACATGTCTAGAGCAAGTGATATTAATAGTGTTTATGTTTGAGCCAGATGGAACTCCTCATAGGAGCATACAGTGCTCATCTCCTCCCAACTTTGCATTCAAAGAAATCATTTTCATAGGCCAAAATTGGTCATAGAGGAAATATCAACACCACTAAATTAAGCAAACTTAAAATACAGCAGTTTTTCTTAGTGACCTGGTTGTTAATACACACTAAATCACCACTAGGTGGTATAGGCTCTCATAAATGGCAAAAGAAAAATGGGACTGCTTAGTTTCTATTTCATTATGCTCTTTATCTCTGAAGAGAATGAGCTCAAATTGTAACAGCAGAGAAAAAAATATAGTTATGAAAGAATCAGACTTTCAAGTATGTAAGGCCACTTTTATGGAAGGACATAGATGTTCTAAATTTATCCTAGCCAAGGAAAAAAAAGTGCTTGGTTGGCTACAAATGAAAATCAATAAAATCCTCCCATAGGATTATTGGTCAGTCTAAACCAAGGGTCAATTTTTTTTTTTTTTGTAAAGGGTCATATTGTAAAAATGCTGGTCTTTGTCGGCCAGCTTCTGTCTCAACTAACAAACTCTGCTGCATTAGTGTAAAAGTAGCCATAGACAAAGAATGTAAATGTAAATGAATAAATATAATTGTATTCTAATAAAATTTTATTTGTATATCAAAATTTAAATTTAATATAATTTTAGCATGTCATGATAAGTTATTCTTTGGGTTTTTTTCAATGAATAAAAAATGTATAATCTACATTAAGTTTCCTTGCTATACTAAGGGGGGGGGGCAGATTTGGCTTGAGGAGGGTGGCTAGCTAAGTCTTAGTGTAAACAATATATATATTATTTGATATTCCTTTGAAATGATGAACTTGGTTAGAATCATGGTAACCTAGCAAGTGAGTTGCAAGACAAGGCCTATTACGGAACTATATTAGTTAAGGTTCTCCAGAGAAACAGAACCATAACTGAGATAGATAACTAAGATAGATGTAGACATAGAGGTACACATAGAGAGAGAGAAAGATATAGAGATAGAGATAGAGGAGGTAAAGATACAGATGATAGAGATAGTATCTCTATCACATACAGATACACATACAGATACAGATGAGATAGAAAGAGATAGAGATATAGATAGAGATAGAGATAAGGATAGAGATAGAGATAGCTAGAGGAAGATAATTCTTGGGAGGAATTGGCTCACAAGGATGTCGAGGCTGAGAAGTTCCGCAATCTCCTGCCTGCAAGATGGAGGCCCAGGAAAGTTGGTGGTACAGTTCAACCTAAGCCAAAAAGCCTGAGAACCAGGTGTTCCAATATTGGAGGACAAGAGAAGATGGATGTCCTGGCTCAAGAAGACAGATTAAATTCAACCTTCCTCTGCCTTTTTGTTCTATTTGGGCTCTGAATAGATTGAAGGATGCCCATAGATATTGGTGAAGATAATCTTCTTTACTCAGTCTACCTATTCAAATGCTAATTTCTCTGGAAACACAGATACTCTCAGAAATAATGTTTTATCAGCTATGTGGGCAACCCTTAGCCCAGTAAAACTGACACATGAAATTAATCATCACACGGAGGTCTAGGAAAATTCATGTCTTTCTTAATTTAAATAGACACATGAAGAAATTATTTTCTTTCTCTATCTTTTTTTCCTTCTTCTTTCTCTTTCTTTCTCTCTTTCTCTTTCTTTTTATTCTTAACTAATGGGCATTTTGTAAACACATGAAACCAGAGAATTGTGGTAGCCATATGGCTACTATGAGGTGAGAAAAAGGAAAGTTTTTGCATCCTGTAGATCTGCCCCATCTATGGTCTTTGTGTTAACTGAGATGACAAATCTGTTACTATCTAAGCTACCTTTAGTAAGGTCTTCCACTACCCTTATGTTAAAACACCTTAAAAGATAAAATTAAAAATATAAAATTTTGTCATTTTTAGGGAGCCAAGATGGCCAAATAGGAACAGCTCCAGTCTACAGCTCCCAGTGTGAGCGATGCAGAAGACGGGTGATTTCTGCATTTCCATCTGAGGTACTGGGTTCATCTCACTAGGGAGTGCCAGACAGTGGGTGCAGGACAGTGGGTGCAGTGCACTGTGCACGAGCCGAAGCTGGGCGAGGCATTGCCTCACTCAGGAAGTGCAAGGGGTCAGGGAGTTCCCTTTCCTAGTCAAAGAAAGGGATGACAGACGGCACCTGGAAAATCGGGTCACTCCCACCCTACTATTGTGCTTTTCCAACGGGCTTAAAAAACGGCACACCAGGAGATTATATCCCGCACCTAGCTCAGAGGGTCCTACGCCCATGGAGTCTCGCTGATTGCTAGCTCAGCAGTCTGAGATCAAACTGCAAGGCAGCAACGAGGCTGGGGGAGGGGCGCCTGGCATTGCCCAGGCTTGCTTAGGTAAACAAAGCAGCCAGGAAGCTCGAACTGGGTGGAGCCCACCACAGCTCAAGGAGGCCTGCCTGCCTCTGTAGGCTCCACCTCTGGGGGCAGGGCACAGACAAACAAAAGACAGCAGTAACCTCTGCAGATTTAAATGTCCCTTTCTGACAGCTTTGAAGCAAGTAGTGGTTCTCCTAGCACAAAGCTGGAGATCTGAGAATGGGCAGACTGTCTCAAGTGGGTCCCTGACCCCTGAGCAGCCAAACTGGGAGGCACCCCCCAGTAGGGGCAGACTGATACCTCACACAGCCGGGTACTCCTCTGAGACAAAACTTCCAGAGGACCCATCAGGCAGCAGCATTTGCGGTTCACGAAAATCCACTGTTCTACAGCCACTGCTGTTCTGCAGCCACCGCTGCTGATACCCAGGCAAACAGGGTCTGGAGTGGACCTCTAGCAAACTCCAACAGACCTGCAGCTGAGGGTCCTGTCTGTTAAGGAAAACTAACAAACAAAAAGGACATCTACACCAAAAACCCATCTGTATGACACCATCATCAAAGACCAAAAGTAGATAAAACCACAAAGATGGGGAAAAAACAGAGCAGAAAAACTGGAAACTCTAAAAAGCAGACAGCCTCTCCTCCTCCAAAGGAACACAGTTCCTCACCAGCAATGGAACAAAGCTGGACAGAGAATGACTTTGACGAATTGAGAGAAGAAGGCTTCAGATGATCAAACTACTCAGAGCTACAGGAGGAAATTCAAACCAATGGCAAAGAAGTTAAAAACTTTGAAAAAAAACTGGACCAATGTATAACTAGAATAACCAATGCAGAGAAGTGCTTAAAGGAGCTGATGGAACTGAAAGCCAAGGCTCGAGAACTACGTGAAGAATGCAGAAGCCTCAGGAGCTGATGCGATCAACTGGAAGAAAGGGTATCAGTGATGGAAGACGAAATGAAGGAAATGAAGCAAGAAGGGAAGTTTAGAGAAAAAAGAATAAAAAGAAACAAACAATGTCTCCAAGAAATATGGGACTATGTGAAAAGACCAAATCTACATCTGATTGGTGTACCTGAAAGTGACGGGGAGAATGGAACACAGTTGGAAAACACTCTGCAGGATATTATCCAGGAGAACTTCCCCAATCTAGCAAGGCAGGCCAACATTCAGATTCAGGAAATACAGAGAATGCCACAAAGATACTCCTCGGGAAGAGCAACTCCAAGATACATAATTGTCAGATTCACCAAAGTTGAAATGAAGGAAAAAATGTTAAGGGCAGTCAGAGAGAAAGGTTGGGTTACCCAGAAAGGGAAGCCAATCAGACTAACAGCAGATCTCTCAGCAGAAACTCTACAAGCCAGAAGAGAGTGGGGGCCAATGTTCAACATTCTTAAAGAAAAGAATTTTCAACGAAGAATTTCATATCCAGACAAACTAAGCTTCATAAGTGAAGGAGAAATAAAATACTTTACAGACAAGCAAATGCTGAGAGACTATGTCACCACCAGGCCTGCCCTAAAAGAGCTCCTGAAGGAAGCCCTTAACATGGAAAGGAACAACAGGTACCAGCCACTGCAAAAACATGCCAAATTGTAAAGACAATCAAGGCTAGGAAGAAACTGCATCAACTAAAGAGCAAAATAACCAGCTAACATCATAATGACAGGATCAAATTCACACATAACAATATTAACTTCAAATGTAAATGGGCTAAATGCTCCAATTAAAAGACACAGACTGGCAAATTGGATAAAGAGTCAAGACCCATCAGTGTGCTCTATTCAGGAAACCCATCTCATCTGCAGAGACGCACATAGGCTCAAAATAAAGGGATGCAGGAAGATCTATCAAGCAAATGGAAAACAAAAAAAGGCAGGGGTTTGCAATCCTAGTCTCTGATAAAACAGACTTTAAACCAACAAAGATCAAAAGAGACAAAGAAGGCCATTACATAATGGTAAAGGGATCAATTCAAAAAGAAGAACTAATTATCCTAAATATATATGCACCCAATACAGGAGCACCCAGATTCATAAAACAAGTCCTGAGTGACCTACAAAGAGACTTAGACTCCCACACAATAATAATGGGAGACTTTAACACCCCACTGTCAACATGAGACAGATGAACGAGACAGAAAGTTAACAAGGATACCCAGGAATTGAACTCACCTCTGCACCAAGCGGACCTAATAAACATCTACAGAACTCTCCATCCCAAATCAACAGAATATACATTTTTTTCAGCACCACACCACACCTATTCCAAAATTGACCACATAGTTGGAAGTAAAGCACTCCTCAGCAAATGTGAAAGAACAGAAATTATAACAAACTGTCTCTCAGACCACAGTGCAATCAAACTAGAACTCAGGATTAAGAAACTCACTTAAAACCGCTCAACTACATGGAAACTGAACAACCTGCTCCTGAATGACTACTGGGTACATAACAAAATGAAGGCAGAAATAAAGATGTTCTTTGAAACCAATGAGAACAAAGACACAACATACCAGAATCTCTGGGACGCATTCAAAGCAGTGTGTAGAGGGAAATTTATAGCACTAAATGCCCAAAAGAGAAAGCAGGAAAGATCCAAAATTGACACCCTAACATCACAATTAAGAGAATTAGAAAAGCAAGAGCAAACATATTCAAAAGCTAGCAGAAGGCAAGAAATAACTAAAATCAGAGCAGAACTGAAGGAAATAGAGACACAAAAAACCCTTCAAAAAATTAATGAATCCAGGAGCTGGTTTTTTGAAAGGATCAACAAAATTGATAGGCTGCTAGCAAGACTAATAAAGAATAAAAGAGAGAAGAATCAAATAGATGCAATAACAAATGATAAAGGGGATATCACCACCGATCCCACAGAGATACAAACTACCATCAGAGAATACTACAAACACCTCTACGCAAATAAACTAGAAAATCTAGAAGAAATGGATAAATTCCTCGACACATACACCCTCCAAAGACTAAACCAGGAAGAAGTTGAATCTCTGAATAGACCAATAACAGGCTCTGGAATTGTGGCAATAATCAATAGCTCACCAACCAAAAAAAGTCCAGGACCAGATGGATTCACAGCCGAATTCTACCAGAGTTACAAGGAGGAGCTAGTACCATTCCTTCTGAAACTATTCCAATCAATAGAAAAAGAGGGAATCCTCCCTAACTCATTTTATGAGGCCAGCATCATCCTGATACCAAAGCCGGGCAGATACACAACCAAAAAAGAGAATTTTAGACCAATATCCTTGATGAACATCGATGCAAAAATCCTCAATAAAATACTGGCAAACCGAATCCAGCAGCACATCAAAAAGCTTATCCACCATGATCAAGTGGGCTTCATCCCTGGGATGCAAGGCTGGTTCAACATACGCAAATCAATAAATGTAATCCAGCATATAAACAGAACCAAAGACAAAAAACACATGATTATCTCAATAGATGCATAAAAGGCCTTTGACAAAATTCAACAACCCTTAATGCTAAAAATTCTCAATAAATTAGGTATTGATGGGACGTATCTCAAAATAATAAGAGCTATCTATGACAAACCCACAGCCAATATCATACTGAATGGGCAAAAACTGGATGCATTCCCTTTGAAAATGGGTACAAGACAGGGATGCCCGCTCTCACCACTCCTATTCAACATAGTGTTGGAAGTTCTGGCCAGGGCAATCAGGCAGGAGAAGGAAATAAAGGGTATTCAATTAGGAAAAGAGGAAGTCAAATTGTCCCTGTTTGCAGATGACATGATTGTATATCTAGAAAACCCCATCGTCTCAGCTCAAAATCTCCTTAAGCTGATAAGCATCTTCAGCAAAGTTTCAGGATACAAAATCAATGTACAAAAATCGCAAGCATTCTTATACACCAATAACAGACAAACAGAGAGCCAAATCATGAGTGAACTCCCATTCACAATTGCTTCAAAGAGAATAAAATACCTGGGAATCCAACTTACAAGGGATGTGAAGGACCTCTTCAAGGAGAACTACAAACCACTGCTCAATGAAATAAAAGATGATACAAACAAATGGAAGAACATTCCATGCTCATGGGTAGGAAGAATCAATATTGTGAAAATGGCCAGACCGCCCATGGTAATTTATAGATTCAATGCCTTCCCCATCAAGCTACCAATGCCTTTCTTCACAGAATTGGAAAAAACTACTTTAAAGTTCATATGGAACCAAAAAAGAGCCCACATTGCCAAGTCAATCCTAAGCCAAAAGAACAAAGCCGGAGGCATCACGCTACCTGACTTCAAACTATACTACAAGGCTACAGTAACCAAAACAGCATGGTACTGGTACCAAAACAGAGATATAGATCAATGGAACAGAACAGAGCCCTCAGAAATAATGCCGCATATCTACAACTATCTGATCTTTGACAAACCTGACAAAAACAAGCAATGGGGAAAGGAATCACTATTTAATAAATGGTGCTGGGAAAACTGGCTAGCCATATATAGAAAGCTGAAACTGGAACCCTTCGTTACACCTTACACAAAAATTAATTCAAGATGGATTAAAGACTTACATGTTAGACCTAAAACCAGAAAAACCCTAGAAGAAAACCTAGGCAATACCATTCAGGACATAGGCATGGGTAAGGACTTCACGTCTAAAACACCAAAAGCAATGGCAACAAAAGCCAAAATTGACAAATGGGATCTAATTAAACTAAAGAGCTTCTGCACAGCAAAAGAAACTACCATCAGAGTGAACAGGCAACCTACAAAATGGGAGAAAATTTTTACAACCTACTCATCTGACAAAGGGCTAATATCCAGAATATACAATGAACTCAAACAAATTTACAAGATAAAAACAAACAACCCCATCAAAAAGTGGGCGAAGGACATGAACAGACATTTCTCAAAGGAAGACATTTATGCAGCCAAAAAACACATGAAAAAATGCTCATCATCACTGGCCATCAGAGAAATGCAAATCAAAACCACAATGAGATACCATCTCACACCAGTTAGAATGGCAATCATTAAAAAGTCAGGAAACAACAGGTGCTGGAGAGGATGTGGAGAAATAGGAACACTTTTACACTGTTGGTGGGACTGTAAACTAGTTCAACCATTGTGGAAGTCAGTGTGGCGATTCCTCAGGGATCTAGAACTAGAAATACCATTTGACCCAGCCATCCCATTACTGGGTATATACCCAAAGGACTATAAATCATGCTGCTATAAAGGCACATGCACACGTATGTTTATTGCGGCACTATTCACAATAGCAAAGACTTGGAACCAACCCAAATCTCCAACAAAGATAGACTGGATTAAGAAAATGTGGCACATATACACCATGGAATACTATGCAGCCATAAAAAATGATGAGTTCATGTCCTTTGTAGGGACATGGATGAAACTGGAAATCATCATTCTCAGCAAACTATCGCAAGGGCAAAAAACCAAACACCGCATGTTCTCACTTATAGGTGGGAATTGAACAATGAGAACACATGGACACAGGAAGGGTAACATCACACTCTGGGGACTGTTGTGGGGTGGTGGAGGGGGGAGGGATAGCATTAGGAGATATACCTAATGCTAAATGACGAGTTAATGGGTGCAGTACACCAACATGGCACATGTATACATATGTAACAAACCTGCACATTGTGCACATGTACCCTAAAACTTAAAGTATAATAATAATAAAATAAAATAAAAAAAGAAAATGTTTTCAACAAGTTATCATGGGGAAAAGAGAATTCTGGGCAAGTGTTCTTGTACAAGTATGTGAGCTTTACTCAGATGTCCATGGGTAGGTGGCTGAATAGAGTTCATAGTGCAGTACCTGAGGGATATAGGACAGGATTAAGCTGGAAAAGTAAAAGTGAGTGAAAAGAGCAAGACGATATACTACCCATCCTGCAACACACACAAAAGGAAGAATTTTAAAGCTATGAATATTCTGGTGTATTTCAGGATTTCTTAGTGGGAAAAAATCTTTTTCATTGTTGTTTGAGGAAATTTACTCAGCAGACTATATTCAATAACGTAACCTAAGGTTTTATTTCTCAGACCTTCTCTTTCCAGTACCTCCTATCTATATAGATAATTTGGAAGCCAGGGAGAAGAATGGGAACCGAAGATCTATGAGCCCTTATGGCATATGAAAAGTGGGTGTTATCTGAAAAGTAGAACTCTAGATGAAACCAGGCCTTTCCCAACAATGGAGCCCAGGACAATGCTGTCTTCAATGTCCATACCATTAGACTTGTTATAGATGAGCTTCTATAATGATGGCTTTCTGGTTAATTAAACCCTCTGAATGATTCTGTGTAACACTGACTTCTGTGATTCATCACAGAACAAGTCTTCATTCTTTCATGGATTATTACTGTTTTCAGTGACTATATTTGGTTGTTTACTCTTTTTGGCACCAATCACCCAGTGAGTCAACAACCAGAGTTGCGAACAAATTACCCTCATTGTCTTTTCTGAGTCCCTTAATTTACTTTATTTTTCATTTGTTGCAAATGTCATTGTTTCTGCTAATGTTGTTTTTTAACATCTGCCAAGATAAAAAATTAAAAAATCACTTGTAAAAAATAAAAAAATTAAAAAAAAATAAATTTTATCATTTTAGAGTGGAATAAAGTTGGTTTCCATAAGCTCAGATGTGAATTTTATAGTGATTCTGGCCAAATTTTTCAGATAATTTTAGAAAATTATTGAAAAATACTCTGTAAATCTACTGTTAATTATTAGACATTTTTTCCAAATGTTAATATTATAGTGTTAGATGAAGAAAGTATAATCACCAGGGATGAGTTTAATCTCTTTAAAAAATACAGATATCAGGATCCTCTAATAATACATTAAATGCCCACTAAAGTCAGAGGTATGTATTTGGTAATGTACCTTACTATATTCTTTTGGACAAGAAGAAGCAATATGGATTAGGTAATGGAATAATTTGGTAAATTATTTAATGGTTAATAGATATATATTACTAACAAATAAAATGGTTTTAACCTGAAAATTTCATTTTTGTTTATATTCTGGTAACATTTTCATCAGTGCTGTAGACATGTTCTTCTGTTAAACACATGAAAAATAAAACAGAACTCTAAAGATTAGCTAATAGGTTCAATGGTAAAATAAAAAAACCTATATAAATGTCTGTACATTATAATTATGAAACAACTTTTAGTCAATAGAACTAAATAGGAAAGACCCTTAAATATTACATATTTAAAAATAAACCACACACACGTAATGACAATGCTAGGATGAGAGATATATATTTTAAAAAGCAACATTTTACTACAACAAGTAGTGTTTAGCTAGCTAGGCTGTAAACTAAGGGTTGGCAAATTATGGCCCGCAAGCCATATCCAGCCAATAGACTGGTTTTGTAAACAAAGTTTTATTGCAGCACGGACACACTCATTCATTTGTGTATTGTCTATAAATGCTTTCTCACTGCAACAGCAGAGAAGAATAGTTGTATAGAGATTATGTGGCCCACAAAACCTAAAATCTTAGGCTCTTTCCCTTTACAGTAAAGGTTTATTAATCCTGCCTCAAAACAATTTAGCAGAGTAATTTGGCTACAAGGAAAATAAATATTTTCTCTTACAAGTTTAATGTCTGGAAAAGGTTAATGAGAGCTATGTTTTTCTCCAGGTAGAGTATACTGGACATGCAGTTTTTATGCATATTTTAACAGGAAGACACTAAAGAGTGTTCAAATATAGGATATCCAAATGACATAGTGGTTTAAAATAATACTGTCAAGTGTGGCTAACAAAACTAGGACCATGTTTTTCCTAAAGAATGGAGGAAAATGGCAAGATAGGATAGTTTTGGCAGATAAATGGCATCACATTTTTGAGAGTCTGTCATTTGAAGGCATGGTTTAGTCTAATCTTGGTTTATCTCAAATGTTAAGTTCAGGAATTATGGATGTTACTGCAAGACATAATTTGACTCTAAATCAGCAAGTACTTTCAGATATTCAGAACTATCTGGAAGTGAAAATGGCTTCCTCTGTAGACAGACAGTAAGTTTCTTATCCCAGAGCCCTGTAGATAGACCATCTGTGCAGGTTATAATCAGGAGATTCATGAATGTGATATTGATGACATAGTCACATTGACAATGAGGCTTTTAGTCATACAGATTAAAGTAAATATGCACTCTGCTGTGCAAATCTCCTAGTAATTGAGAATAAAATTAATCTTGGGCTATAAGTAGATACAAAGTATTCCCAGTTAGATTTCACATGTATACATTTTGAAATTATTAATTTTTAAAAAATAAAGATATGGCTTTTTAAAATTTTTATTTATTTATTTATTTACTTATTTTTTCATGGAGTCCCACTCTGTTGCCCAGGTTGGGGTGCAGTGGCGTGATCTCGGCTTACTGCAACCTCTGCCTGCCAAGTTCAAGCGATTCTCCTGCCTCAGCCTCCCGAGTAGCTGGGACCACAGGCAAGTGTCATCATGCCCGGCTAATTTTTGTATTTTTAGTAGAGACAGGGTTTCACCATCTTGGCCAGGCAGGTCTCGAACTCCTGACCTCAGGTGATCTGCATGCCTCAGCCTCCCAAAGTGCTGGGATTACAGGTGTGAGCCACTGTGCCCAGCCAATTTTCCCATTTTTGATACACTAATTCTAAAGTAACTTTCATTACTTGAATATTTACTTCAGGTGTTTTTCAATTCCTCCTAATTTCAGCTCCTCAATTCAAATTTGGCTCACATTAATGATGGTTATCTGTTGTTGGCACATAGAAAATATAAATAGAGGACTTTTACTGAATTCGGTTTTTTAAGAGTTCTAAGGAAAAAGCTATTACATCCACATATATGTGTAAAATGAAACGTAGACCTAAGAACTACTGTGAATCAACAGCCTGACTTTTAATAAAAGAGAGTATATTGAATTTATGTTAAAGTTAAGAATCTGGGAATTCTTAAGTACTGCCTGCCAGGAACACTATTACGACAAAAATAACAAAAAGGCTTATTTGACATGATTTGCTGATCACTAAGCCCACTGAGGGAAGCCCTCCAAGGCTTATGTGAGAAGTAGTCAGTTTGTTTTTGTCTTACTGGTGCAGAAGAAATGCTTTTTATTGCCCATGGTCTCCAAGGATGGTACTGAGCTCCACAAAGCAACCACTGGGGAACATCAAGTAAATAGCATGAATCTGTTGTTATAAAGCAAGCAAACTGCTTTAAAAACATATTTAAAGTAATTCGTGAGTTGGATGTTTCCTGGTAGATATAGTTTTCAGTTTAGGCATTTAAAAAGAAAAAGTCTGCTGTGTTCCTTTATTTTCACTTTTACTTTGGTGTTTTGATGTCTATAGAAATGAGCAGTTTCTCTACTTCTTTCCCAGAGATTTATCTCCAATGCTGACATGAGCACAAAGACCTTATGTACTGTGCTGGGAAATATTTTGTTCTTAAGAATAAAAATTTTCATTAGAGTTAGTCGATGCATCACAGATATTATCCTTCCTGACAAGAGGAACACTGAAGCACAGACACTGTGTTGGGCTATGGTTCTCAACGGAAAAATAAAGCTTTTCAAAATGTTAGTCACTGCCATGCTAGATGTTTCCTTAAGTCATTTTTACAACCTGTTTTGATAGATTCTAAGGATCAGTCTTACATTATATTTTTCTACGGCTTACTGTTAAAGTCTTATTCATAAAATTAACTATCATGTATGGAAGTAGTATACACCAACACCATAAACCAGAAAGTAATTTATATTTAACCCTCATAACAATACTTCAAAGTAGAAATTATCTCATATTGTAGAGGAAACACAGGCTCAGATAGGATATAAATTGCCCATATCACAAAATTAGTAAGCTGTGGAGCTAGAATACAAACAAGATCTACCTATTTACAAAAATCAATAATTTTTCCTCTATAACATGTTTTCATTAAATGCCGTTGGTTTTTAAGTGAAATGCACTCAACTTCACATTTTAAAATATGCCACAAATGTACCTATAAAGTAAGTGAACATGACTATTGAGTGGGATCACAATTATTAAAAAGTTTGCCTTGGGACCGTTGTAACAAAGACAGTACACTGACCCTCAGGAAACCGAATTACATGCCCAAAGGGGACATGTGCCATCTCCCTGGGCTCAGTGGGGGCTTTCAAATGGATTCTTTGTACGTAGGTGTTGCACATATTTCTGTTTCTTTAAGCTTTCCTTTATAACTTCCAGACCTACTTCTGATGACGATGAATTTCTTTCAAAACCTAACCCTAGATATGGGGTCAGCTTTAGGCGAAATTGTGAGTTGCTAGCTAACAAAAGTAGCTAATATTTTCATGAAATGTTTCATTATTAAGCTAAATGCCACACACTATTCATTACACGTATTAATCAGTTTAGTTATCACAATTTTATGAAGTAGATATGACCATCATTTTTATTTATCAGTTGAAGAAACTAAGACACAGAAAAGTTAAATACCTTATCCAAAGTCATGTTGCTTGTGGAGAAGTTGCAATTCATCTTGGTTATCTTCACCTAGAGTCTGTGTGCTGGATGACTATTTTAGACTGCTACGTGTGCATGCAGAGTTCAGTGCTTGTCTGGTCCCACTCCCTCCTACCCTTCTGTCCTTCTGTCCCCTAATGACTTCATCCTGTTCCCTACTTCTCAAGACTACTCTTCTTCTTGGACACTTTTCATATTCCAGAACTAATTATATTGTTTCTTTTTTTTTTCTGCTCATAATGCCAAAGGCAAAGTTAGCAATGTAGCTGATATAAAGGAATTCATACTAAAAAATGGCATGCTCAATTTGTAAAATTTTCCAGAGTTAAATAGGTAGAGTGAAAGGTGTCATTTATTTTTTGAATAAAACAATGTTGAATTTTACTTAAATGAATGATAAATATAATTTTGACATGTATTTGCAATCTGTATGAGTAATATCATATCCTATCATGCTTCATATTCTCACACTCTTATACCATTAATGATCTCTACATCTATCCCCAATCAGCTACCATCTCTCTTCCTCAGCGGTGTTATGTCAGGTCTGAAAATTAAATTTTAAAAGTAGTTCCTAAGTTTTAAACATTTTAAATTTTTTTCCTGGAAGGACATGATGAGTAACCCAATTGTCAGCAAATGCCTTAGGTATTTAGGGGAACAATCCTAATGGCAATAGCTAATATTTTTGGCAGAGCCAAGTTTTAGTATCTCTTTGCAACTGTGTGACAGCATGATCATATTAATTCTTATAACAAATCTATGAAGTGGCTATCCACTTTATTTTATAAAGGAAAAAAGAGTCTAAGTAACTTGGCTCTGGATTTGAACTTCAATCTAGCTATCTCTATAACTTGACCTTTAAACATTATGCCACCTTATATGTCAATCTTACCTTGAAAACCAACAAGCAAACCAAATAAATAAAACAATAGGAACAGCCTATAATAAAAAGCCTTCTCAGCCGGGTGCAGTGGCTTACACCTATAATCCCAGAATTTTGGGAGGCTGATGGGGGAGGATGGTGTGAGCCCAGGAGTTTGAGACCAACCTAGGCAACACAGTGAAACCTCGTCTCTACAAAAAAAAAAAAAAAAAATACAAAAATTATATAGGTGGACATGGTGATGCTCACCTGTAGTCCCAGCTACACTGGAGGCTGAGGGAGAAGGATTTCTTGAGCCCAGGATGCAGAGGCTGCAGTGAGTCGAGATAGTGCCACTGCACTCCAGCCTCAGCAAGAGAGACAAACCATTTCTGAAAAAAAAAAAAAAAAAAAAAAAAAAAAAAAAACAGAAAAAGAAAAGGATTTATCATTATCTAATTCAATATATTCTGTAATAATCAAAAATACCATTGAATGAATGGGGAAGAAAATTAGATCAACTGCTTTGAAGTCAACTTGTTTACTTCTGATCAAGAAATAGTAGCAGGTTATACCTCTGTGGTAGTAGTAAAATATATCTTTGCTTTGGTTCCAAATATATTTTTTAGATGTTTGATATATGGGGACACATCACAGAGTATACTATCAAATTACTTTAAGTGAGTTATAAATAGAAGAGGAAAATCAAAATGGGAAAATTATAATAGCCTTAAATCTCTCAGTTGATATTGAAAATACTAAATTCTGGCAGCTAGGGTAAAATTAATATAAGAAAATAATAGATACAGCACTCACTTTTTCTACAGCCCCAAGTGTTTTAATTATTTCTATATTTGGAAATGAATTCATAATCTATTAGTCACATTATTTGAAATTTCAAATTATAATTTTATTTGTTTCAGATAAAAGCTTCATCCTTTAAAAACATACGTTTGGATGAATAACCAAAGCAAGCTTGCTATGACTTTCATATAAACTACTTTATCATCCTACATTGCTCCATTGAGTTAGTGAGGTCCAGGGTTTTGATAGAATGAGAATATTCATACAGTGAACTGCAGACATATTTGAAGGTTTTTAAAAACGATGTTGACTTTGTCTAGGGCTGAGGGTGATGATGTAGGGCAAGTGTAAAGGACAGAGTCACATAGAGACTCCTGAGAACTAGAAAGCAGCCAGTGAGTCCCAGCATCTGAAGGGCAAGGAAGTGTCAATGTAGTTCCGTATAAATTTAGTAAAACATAAAGCAAGCACTCGATTGTTTTCCAATACAGTATGCTAATTGGAGTGGCAGAATTGTATGGTAGAAAGAGCATACAAATGACAAATACATTCACAACACTGTGCCGAGTGCAATGAGAGGTACAGTCACATAAAGACATGCATTTTCAGACATTATAGTCAGTTTATTTAATATATTACTCAAATATTAATCATATATAGAGATCTGAAATTTCTTTGAGTACCTATTATGCATGTTGAATGCTAGGAAATGTGTGCTAAGTATTTTTTCTGGATTCTCTCAGATAAAACTGACCTCATAGCTCTGAGTTAAGTAATTTTATATTTACCACATAAGAAAATTGAAGTACAAATGAGGAAATCGAGGTACAGAGATTAAGCAACTTGTCCAAGACTATACAGCTGCTACACAGAGCACCTGGGATTCAAATCTAGGAATGAGTGAAGAATTTTATTACTAATTGCATAAGTAAATACATACATCGAACCCAGTAATATATTCTGTTGGTTCTATGACCCATATTGCAGAAAATAATTATAGAATTAGATTTTCTGTTCGAGTACAAAATTTACTTCACAAAATTATAATCCTGTTGTTTAAATATTGAATGTATAGTATGAATTATTATGTAATAGTAGTATCTGTTTTAAAGTCACATATTGCTATATATTGCCTTAATAATGATTATGAGTCAGGAACTGTTCTCAGCACATGTTATATCAATGAGTCCTTTCAAATAGTTAATGTGGTAAGTGTAGACCAAATCAACTGATAATTAGCTAAGCCTCAGAGAATCTGAGTACTGTATCTATATTTACATGGCCAGTGAGTAGAGAGGTTGAGTCTTAATCCCAGTGATCTGACAGCAGTGATCTCATTTGTGTATATGATTCCAGAAGCACTGAGGGAGAATGTGAACCCATATTTACACAATGCATAGTTCCCAGCAACAACTAGAGTCTTATCTTGCTGTGGGAGTAAAGAAAATACACTATGATAACTTGGTAATATTGTAATGTGAAAAGCGTAAAGAGAATAACTCACAAGAAAAATATTAAGAAGTTTTCTGAAGCAAGCTTCTCTTGTGGCTTCCAGATTAAAGTGCTTGCATATTCTCAGCAGTGTTTTCCACAGACAGATTTTCTGTGTAAGCAGAAATTGTCTTAATTTAAGGAGGTAGAAAGTATGGTAGAGTATTTTGTGTTCACTACAGAGGTTGGCTGCCATTTGTTAGTGCAGTAAAATTTTGTAAAGCTGCTCTGAGATCCTTTGAAATCCATTTATAACAATGAGACTGGATACTTTACCATCTGCTGTAAATGTTTCCAGGAGATTTAGTTACTCAAGTCCCCTACTTTCTGTAGTTTATTTCCATTCTATGATTGTTTATCTTTTGAAATAATTTCAATAATTCCATCTGTTTAATTTGTCTGGTTCTGAGAAAACATTAGCTAGTTGACATATTTAACACTTTAATCCAACAGGCCTTGAGTGGTATATATCTGCATGTGCCACTATAGAAGTCAAGAAATTAACTCCAGCTCTTAAACATTAAAAAAAGAAAAAGAAGGTAGGGGAGGGAATCTTGATAGCCACTTTGGTAATGAAGCAAAGTGAGAGAAAATATCATCCTGGAGTTCAAGGGTGAGCATTTTAGCACACTTAATGGCAAAAGAAGTGAGAACTGACCACCTGCTCATCCACATGGTGAGATATGGACAAATACCTCTTCTTGAGAATGAATGAATGGATATATGAATGAATAGGTGAATGAGCAAATGAAGGCTTATCTGTGGATAATCAAACTGGAAACCCACAGTCAGTTTACAAGCCTCTTGAGGATTTGGTCATAATTTGAATATCTCACTAAGATCTAACCCTTTACATGGACTTAGTACATTTACTTTCCCATTTGTTGTTGAAGGTCCTTAGTACCCTACTCAAAGGCTGAATTCTTAAAAATATACTACCACCACTAAAAAAGAACAAAAGAAAATTTTTGGAGGTGAATAAGTATGTTCAGTACCCTGGTTGTGATGATGGTATTGTTGTATGCACACATGTCCAAACTCATCAAGGTGAATATATTAAAGGTGTACAATTTTTTCTATCAATTATATCTCAATAAAACTTCTAAAAAATTATTTAAAACTAAACAGCAAGAACAACAAAACACTTAGGAAACAAAAGAAGTTTCTGTCCCTGTTCTAAATGTTAATTTTAAAGGTTTGATTAGGAATTTATTTTTTAGTGCAGAAACATGATTTTCTTTTTCAAAACACAAACATTATAATACAGAGCTAGTTGAAATCTACACATTTCCCTTCATAAAGGCAGAGACCCTCATGCAACAATCATCTTTAGAAATAGAAGTCCCTGTAACACAATGCATGGCTTTTTGACTGTTCATGCATTCATAGCATTTTTGTTCTTAGCCTTGTAAATACACCATAAATAGATCTCCAGACCGTGTTTGCATAGGCCCCTTAGAAATGACTTAAATATAAGCAAACCATATTACTTAAACAATGTTAAGCTATGCTATGGCACTGCATTACTGCTTTGAGAAATTCATGTAGTTCAACTAAATATTGTAGCAGTAATTCATGTTCATAGAAAAATCGATCAAAGGTTTTGACAAATTCGAGGCAGGAAAGGAAATAAAGGTCAGGCACTGTATTGCAAGTTCCCTATTCTAAATTGTATTTCTTACAAATAGGCTTCTGAGGTCCCATAGCTTTAGCAGGCCTCTTACATATGCCTTCATTGTCTGTTCTTTCAATGACATTCAGACATTTATTTCTTTCTCTCTCCTATTGTGTCCAAGTCCCTCACACTGCTGAACTTGTGCCTCTCTCGTCTCTTCCTTCTGTCTCTCTTTTTAATACCCTGATGCAGAAGCACTGGATGGTGGGATGCATTTTATTCAGCTCTCAAGGTAGTCAGAGTTCCACTTGAGTTCATGTAGCATCTGTTATAACAAGGTTAAAATTACAGAAAGCACACGATTTTATTCCCTTTAGCTGAAGGACAACAAAGGTGGATTTTCATATTTCCTTATAAAGTGCTGCTTCAGAGAAAGCACATTTTGGTATCCACTAATCCCAAGTAAAGTGACTTGGTTCCTAATGTTGGTTTTGCCATTAGCCTGTGGCTTTGTTAGGTTATTTATTTTCTTTAAGTCCATCAACCCTTCAGTTAGTCCCCATTCTGCCTACTTGTTGGTGAAATTTAAAAGGCCTCCTAGTAGCTCCAATAGTTACAGTATAATAGAAACAAGCAAATACTCCTTTTAAAAAAAAATCTATGAGGGTAAAAACACTTGGATTCAAAAGCGAATTTGGACAATATCTACCAAGTGGTAATTAGATATACTCAGACTTTTAAACTAAAAATATACCATAAGAGTATTGCACATTCCTACTAAGGTCCCAAGGATTATTGAAAAGTAGAGAGAAGAAAAAAAAAGTGGGAACTTCTTTTAGTGAAAATGCATATATTATCAGGATTATCATAATAATAGTAATTGTGACTTTTAGTTTGAATTTCTTTTCTGGAAATATAAAGTCTTAGGGAATTATGATATAAATCCCAAGGCTTAAAATAGGTGTCCACTGATCATTCTGATTTTTATTTGATAATAGTCTTCCTAAATAGACTATTATTCTTATAAAATGGGAGGAGCAAGTTGGAAAGCTTAAGAAAACTCTGAAGAGCAGGCATTTCTAATTAGGAAGCTATACGAGAAAAGGCTTATGACTATCCAAAGCACTTAGGCATCTGATGTATTATATGGAATGCCTTTCTCTTTTTCCTCAATTATTATCAGAGAGAGAAAAAGTTTAATGGTATTAAAACAAGAAAACATAGTCTTAATTGGATTAAATAGGCCTTCAAAGGGCTCTCTGACATATACACCCATGAAATTATAACACAACTCTGCAAACTTAATCTATGTGAAATAAAAAACATGTAAAAGACACAAGATTCTAAGGGAAACTCAGGGATTTTCTAATATTGCTTTACATAACTGCTTCTTTTTTCCAAACTTTACCTTCTGTAACAATAAGCAATGATATAACAGACTCAAGGGCTAGACAGTCCAATGGCAAGAATGCTGACAAAGGTAGCTGTATAAGAAAGAATGAATCGTATTTTGAATGACAAAAATGGTTAATATCTTATTTCTTGCTTTTTTACATTGACAATTTTTTCTATGTTTTAGAGGAATTGAAGATTAGAAGGTTGATTTATGAGAGTATGATTTGTAAGAGTATAGGCAAATTTAATTCAATTTATTAAATACTTATTGAATCTGCAAAACATTGTGGAAGTTATAGAAAATTGTTACAATATGAATCTTATCCTCAAGGAGTGTAATCTCCCAATATGAAGTTTAAGAGACTACCAAAAAATGATCTTGTTAGAACAGATTATAATGGATTTTGCTTTTAAATCCAATGTAATAATGACACATTTAGAAACTGAGGTAAAAATGTGAAATAAAACATGGAACTTATTTGATATAAAACTTTACTGAGAAAATGTATCGACAGCAGATATTATGAAGAATTTAAATTCACCTATCTCAACTGGAAAGTAATAAGATCTCATTATTATCTTATGCTCATGCAATCCACTGCATTTTCAGTTAACCCTTGAACAACACAGTGGTTTGGGTGCTGATCCCTATGAAGTCAAAAATCACTGTATCACTTTTGACTTCAACTGCTGTTAATATAATAATAGCCTACTGTTGATCAGAAGTCTTTCCAATAACATAAACAATTAATTAACATATGTTGTGTACGTTATATGTATTATACACTTCATTCTCACAATAAAGTAAGCTAGACAAAATGTTATTAAGAGAATTATAAGATCTTCACTATTCACTAAGTGGAAATAGATCATCATAAAGGTCTTCATCCTCATCATCTTCACACTGAGTAGGCTGAGGCACAAGAAAAGGAGGGATTGATCTTGCTGTCTCAGGGATGGCAAAGGCAGAAGAAAATCCATGTATCTGTGAACCCATGCAGTTCAAACCTATGTTGTTCAAAGGTAAACTGTATATGGAAATTATAGAGGGGGAACACAATTAAATTAACTAATTTAATGTTTAAGTAAATAGTTTAGAGACACGAAACCAAGGAGGGGGCAATACACAAATCTACACAAATGAAGAATTGTTAAGAATGTGGTGTGTGTGTGTGTTTGTGTATGTGTGTGTGCATGTGTGACAGAGAGGGACAAAGAAAGAGAGAGAATACATGAAAATGAAAATGTGGATCTTTTCATAGTAATAGAGGGGTTAAAATGTCCAAAATTAAATTTCCTAATTCCTGATTAAACTGAAATGCACATATGAAAGTTTGTAATTCATCCATGAACTTACAAGCACACATATACATACACTCCCCCAACACACATTTATGAACTTATAGAGACATAGATAAATAGGCAGATAGATAAATAGACCACTTCTGTAGTGTTAAAATCATTATCAATAGTAAAATATGAAAAAATTGTATGGTGAGAAGAAGATATTTAATTAAATCAATTATCAGAAATATATAGAGAGAATCAGTAATGAGAGCATGAAACTATCAGAATAAAAGTTGCTTCAGTTTCTAAGTTTTCAAATCCAAAACCCTATGTTTCCCAGAAGGCTCACCCTTGAGTGCCACAAAGCATCATCTTAGAAATGACATACCATCACTACTGGCATATTCCATTGGTCTTATAGATGAACGCTGGTACATTGTGGGAGGAAACTATACCAGTGAATGAATACCAGGAGGTGTTCATTAGGGTCCTTCTTAGAGGCCAGTTATTGTAGATTGCTCTCTGGCTCCGAGTAATGCACACACCTCTCTAATTGTATCCTAAGTCTACCAAAGCTTCATCTCATTACAGCATTAGCATGAAGTCTAGAATCTTGTCATTTAAATCAGGTCTAGCTGCAAATACAACTCCTTGAGTATGGTTTGTCTTGATTTGAAGACCTTTGAAACTAAAGAAACAACTTACCTATCTTTCACACATCCATCATAAAATGATGAGACAGGCATAGAATAATCATCACAGGCACTCTGATTCAATAGAGGAAAAAGGGAGACATATAGAAGTCAGCAGTCAATGAGAGTTCTGAAATCTAGCTGGGAAAATGTTAATTTTTTTCTTTTTTTGATGAGGATTTAATCCTACTCCTATCCATTAATGACTATTTCTTGATTCCACTGTCTGGCCTCAGTTCTATCATTTGAAATATCCCTCCTTTTTTAAAAAGATAGAACATATTTTAGTCTGAGTAGTTTACTCAGTCTGCTATCTCCTTGAAGAAGTACGGGTAGCCCACTTTAAAATGGCTCTGGCTTATTCAGTTTAAATTATCAATATTTTTACATATGTAATTTACCTTCAAATTTTTGTAGGTTTACTGTGAATCTTACTGAGATTCATACACAAAGGCTAACTCAGTAACCTTTTCAGAAATATGCTTTTCTCTTCCTTGAACTTTTGTTGAGAAGGCTGTAGATCAATGTTGTGAGCTTCCTGCAGGTTCCATTGTTCGACTGAGTTATCTGTGTATCATATACTTTATATTTTAGAGGACAGTTTGTCTAACTAAATGGCATTTCAAAGCACCACATTTGATCTTTCTGCAATACATGGAAAATTTTACAGTTATCTTTTTGGCTACAATTTTGGACCATACTTCCTGCCAGTGCCCTGGATTCTATATTTGCTTGAAAGCCATTTATTGAGTTTAGCATAATTTACCATCGGGTGAATCTCAGAATTTTCAAAGTCATTACATCCATTATTTTTAAGTTAATATTATGTATTTATTTATAAAGACAGAGAACATATATGCAAAAATAGAACCTTTTGAAGTCTACAGAATGTTTTAATCAAAACTAGGTTAACATGTAATTTTTGAGCATTGCTTTTATGTTATGCAATCTATTCTGTGATGTAAAAGGAGATACAAAGCACTTATTCCCATAGTGATTACATTACATTTGATGTAGACAAATAATAAGTAAATTCATATTTTTTGGATTTTAGCAAGTATATTGAATAAACAAATCAGGGGCAATACAAGTGTTGACTGGTAATCTCCATTTCAGCTAAGATAGTCAGGGTATGGACATAATGACTGTATTAGTCAAGGTTATCTAGAGGAATAGAAAAAGTGTGTATATATACACATCCATGATATTCAAAGTAGGTAGCCCTCATCCAACCAAGGACTTTGCTTCCTCTTCTAGGGAAGGGGTTAGTGCATTTTTGGTTGCCACAGGATAGTTGTATCACATCAGGCAGAATTATGACCTTGCTATTGTCTTTATTTGACAATTAAGTATGGTTTAAGGAGATACATGGGTGCCACGTTGACAGAGGATGAACTTATAATAGCTAATTTAATATTTTGATTTGACTAGGCTATGGGGTGCCCAGATATACCCACAAATGTTATTAAGTGTATCTGCAAGGATGTTCTAGATAAGATTAATATTTAAATTCATGGAGTGAGGAAAGCAGATTGTTCTCTCTAGTGTAGGTAGCCCTTATCCAATCAATTGAAGAGGTGAATAACACAAATAAAGTTGATTAAGAGGACTCCTTTTCAATGTTTCAAATAGAAACATTGTCTTTTCTTGGGTATTGAGCCTGCCAGCTTTTGGACTGAATCTTACTCTACCAGTTCTCCTGCTTCTCATGCCTTTGGACTCAAACTGCAACTACATTTCATCTCTCCTGTGTCTCTAGCTTGCCAGCTGCAGATACTGAGACTTCTCAGCCTCTATAAGAATGGTGTGAGCCAATTTCTTATCATTTCTCTCTCATCATATGTTTCTCTAGATAACATTGACTAATAGAGTCATCATGTCCATTCCATGACTATCTTAGCTGTATATAGTGCTCTCGTTCTCTCTCTCTCAATATTATAAGTTTATTCCTTGTCAATGTGGCATCCATATGTATGTTTTTAAACCATATTTAATTTTCAAATAAAGACAATAGCAAGGTCATAATTCTGCCTGACAGGATACAACTATCCTGTATACAACCAAAAATTGCACTAATCCCTTCCCAGAAAGAGGAAGCAAAGTCCTTGAGTAATACTCAATATTGACAGAGACAGATAGAGCAATCCCTTCCCAGAAAAAGGAAGCAAAGTCCTTGAGTAATGTTCAATATTGAGAGAGAGAGAGAGAGAGAGAGAGAGACATTACATTACAATAAATTGGCTCACATTATTATGGGGGCTGATAAGTGTCAATATCTGCAGCTGGCAAGCTGGAGACACAGAAAAGCTGAAGTTTAGTTCCAGTTTGAGTCCAAAGGCATGAGAACCAGGAGAACTGATAGTTTAAGCTTCAGTCCACAAGCTGGCAAGCTCAATACCCAAGAAAAGCCCATGTTTCCGTTTGAATTTAAAAGCAAGAAAAGACCAACGGCCCGGCTCAGATAGCCAGGCAATAGGAATCCTCCCGTAATCAACTTTTTTGTGCTATTCAGGTCTTCAATTGACTGGATAAGGGCTTCCTACTTTAGAGAGAACAATCTGCTTTACTCACTCTATGAATTTAAATATCAATCTCATCTAGAATATCCTTGCAGATATACTCAATAATATTTGTCTGCATATCTGGGCACCCCATGGCCTAGTCAAACCAACACATAAAATTAGCTATTATAAGTTTATTCCTGTCAATGTGGCACCCATATGTATCTTTTAAAACCATATTTAATTTTCAAATAAAGACAATAGCAAGGTCATAATTCTGCCTGACAGGATACAACTATCCTGTATACAACCAAAAATTGCACTAATCCCTTCCCAGAAAGAGGAAGCAAAGTCCTTGAGTAATGTTCACTCTTCTCGATATCCCCTAACTTAAATACTATGATGTAAAATTAGCATTAAATACTATGAAACAAAGTCAGTACATCTCATATGATAAAGTCATGAAAACAGGAAGCAACCATTTTGCTACTGAGTCACTACAGATAGGTAATAGTGAACTCTGTCACTCTCATTTACACTCCTTGGTTCCTGGAGCCATAAATTCTGCTATGGTAAAAACAGCACCGTATATTGAATGCTGATTCAGAACACATACAGCCTTCTGGAGAATTTGTCGCAGTTCTGCAAGATATTGCCACCTAGCTGGTGCTGCAGCAGAGTTTTTAATAGGCGATTCCACCATTCTATCAATCCAATTGCTTCTGGGTCGTGGAGAATATGGTAAGACCATTGGATCCCATAAGCATGGGCCCACTGCTGACATCCATTGCTAGGAAGTAAATTATTTGATTACAAGCAATGATGTGTGGTATACTGTGATAGTGTATAAGGCATTTGTAAGCCTGTCATGGTAGTTTGGAAAGAAGCACTGCATGCAGGGAAGGAAATCCATATTCATAGTAAGTGTCTATTACTATAAGAACAAAATACTGCTACTTCCATGATGAAATTCGTCCAATGTAATCAGCCTGCCCTCAGGCAGCCAGTTGCTTACTCCAGGGAATGGCACCATATCAGGGTCTCAATGTTGTCCTCTGCTACTGGTAGACTGAGCAATCAAGTCAGGCTTGGTGAGTGGAAGTTCATATTGCTGATTCCATCTGTAACCTCCATCCCTACAATTATGGCCACTTTGTTCACGGGCAATGAGAGGAGTGACTGGGGAAACAGGCTAAATGGTTTCAACCAAATAGTTCATCCTATCCACTTGATTAGTGAAATATTCCTTTGATGATGCTACCTTTTGGTGAATATTCACATGGACAAAATATTACATTGTTGTCTCATTAACAGAGGTCTATCTACATACTTGTTCCCTAAATTTTCTTGTCACCAACTTTTCTATCATGATACTCCCCAGTCGACCATCCAGTCAAACCACTGGCAAAGATCATGAAGTAGTATATAATCACTAGTCTGGCCATTTCTCCTTCCAGCAAAGTAACCAACCAGATGCATTTCTCAAAGTTTTGTCCACTGGGAGAGTTTGCCTTCACTACTGTCCTAAAAGGTTGTACCAGTAAAGGGGTATAGTGTACAAATGTCTACTTTTGAGTGTAGACATGTAGTGTGCACTACCACATAGTGCAGAATCATCTGTAAACTAAGTCCAAGTTTTCTTTTCCTCTGTCAACTGATTATATGAAGCCATAGGTATAAGATTGGAGAGAGAAGGATGAGTAGCAGGCACAGGAATTATGAGCATTTAGGCTACTTCATGTAACTTAGTAGTGACTCAGGACTTCTTTGGACTCAATCATGTATATATCACTTCTACTTAATAAAGAGGTGCACACTTAATTTTCTGATTTGGTGAGTCACACAATGCTCAGTTGATAATAGGCAGCTCAGGTCACATGGTAACTTGGTGGCCCATGATTAAGTGTTCAATCTCTACTAAGTCACAGTAGCAGGCCAATAGCTATTTCTCAAAATGGTAGTAATTATCCATAGAGAATGGAAGGGCTTTGCTCGAAAATCCTAAGAGGCTTCACTGTAATTTACCTGCAGGGGCCTTCCAAATGCTCCAAACATCTCTGATACTTCAAATATGATTGGATCTGCTGAATTAAATGCTTCAAGTGGCAGAGGAGCTTACACAGCAGCCTAGACCTGCTGTAGAACCTTCTTTTGTTCTGAGCCTCATCCCAAACTAGCAGCTTTTGGTGACATCTGGTGAAGAAGTTATTGTAACACACTCAAATGAGAAAAAACATTATCTTTATCTTTAGCGTCCAAAAAGACACATTAGTCATTGTGCTTCTTTTTTGGTATTAGGAGGGGCCAGGTGCAGTTTATCCTTTACCTTAAAAGGAATATCTTGACATACCCCATAGCATTTGTACCCTAAAAATTTCACTGAGGTAGAAGCCTCCTGAATATTTTTCACATTTATTTCCCATCCTCTGACACACAAATGTCTTACCAATAAGTCTAGAGTAGTGGCTAATTCCTGGTCTCTAATTCCAATCAACATAATGTAATGTACCAGTGTGATATCTTATGGAAGGGAAAGACAATCGAGATGCTTGAAAACTAAATTATGACATAGTGATGGAGAGTTGATATACGTCTAGGTGGGACCTTAAGGTGTATTGCTGGTCTTGTGCCCTGAGCAAAATACTTCAAGTGGTTATAATTGACAAGGATGGATAAAAATTTATTTGCAATATCAACACATGCATACCAAGATCAGGAGATGTGTTAGTTTGCTCAAGCAATGAAACCACATTTGGTATAGTAGCAGCAATTAAAGTCATTACTTGGTTAAGTGTTCAAAAATAATGGTCATTCTCCAAGATCCACTTTTTCTTTTTTTTTCTGCACAGTCCTCATAGGTATGTGGTGGGGATCACAACCCCTACATCTTTCAAATCCTTGATGGCGGCATTAATCTAGACAATTCCTTAGGAATTGCAGTTTTTCTTTTGTATTTGTGTTTGTTTTCATTTTTGTTTTCCTGGTTTCCTAGGCAGGTATAGTGGCTTCCACTTAGCCCTTTTTACCATAATAGTCCTCAGTCCACAGGTAAGAAAACCAATATGGACATTTAGCCAGCTGCTGAATATATGTATTCCAATTATGCATTTCAGAACTGGATAAATAACCAAAGGATGGGTTTGGGAAGCCGCTGGATCCATTGTAAGATAAACGTGCGCTAAACCTTTGCTCACCTGACTTCCCAAAGCCCGTACTCTGACTATGGACCTTAGTGACTGTTTGGGTCTCCTGGAATTAGTGACAGTTCAGAGCCAGTGTCCAGTAGTCCTTGAAAGATCTGATTACTTTCTTTTTCCAAATATAGAGTTACTCTGGTAGAAGGCCATAAGTTTATTGAGGAAGACTTGGAGAAAGATTAACAGTATAAATGTTTTAGCAGCGTACCTGGCTAGACCAGCCTACCCTTCATTTAAGGGATTCTGGGTCTGTAAACTGGCTCAAATCTGGGAACTGATTGATGGATTATGACTCTCCCTCCCTATGATTCAGGTTAGATTTTTGTGCACTTGACCTACAACTTTTCTTCTTACATAAATTAAGTAGTAATTTAGTAGGATTCCTAACTATTTCACTTCTAGGAACACCATATTCAACTAGCTGAGACCATAGGTCTGCAAAAGTCAGATTATTTTGACTGCTGCTTTGACTCTGCTGTCCAAGCCAACCTTGCCTTTGTAGTTGAGCACCACAACTTGGCCCCTGCTGTACCCAGAATCCAGTTACTTCCACAGCATTTAGGTTTTCCAATTCAGTGAGCGTGATTCCCATTATAAGGCATGCCTACAGACAAGAGTGACCACAGAACTCTTCAAGGATGCTAGGGTTCCCCTCACAAATATATTTTCCACAGTCATGATGAAAGGTATGTCTTCTGGCTGCTTCCAGTGAGGGTGAATATATCTTGAATCACAAATTCACTCTAACATTCCCATCTTCCTAAGCCATTCAACCCTCTCTCCTACATTAAACCAAGGCAGATCCAGCATTTCCAAATTGCTGTATACCATTTGTGAATCCCATTTTGACCAATGTTTCAGCCAACCAACCAAATTGTTAGAGTTCTTCCTATCTCTTCAAGCTGCCACATTAAATTCAGGATCTCTGCTTAGAGAGCCTATATCAATAAATTCAGCCAGACCTAACTTCATAGTCCTTCCACCACTATCCCACATTTTCACTATCCATTCCCACACATATTCACTATTTATGTACAAATTAGAAAACTCAAGTAGTTATCTTTGAGTGTAGTATACCTCCTGGGTCACACTTTGTACCTCACCTGTAGGGGACTGCTGAGACGTGAGTCTAGTTATAATTCTAGAAGGAAAAATGGTGGTGAGGATGAGTCCTGAGGAAAATCAACATGATCTTGCATGACAACTGCTTCAGGGGAAGCCATTGCAGTTTTCTAAGGCAATGCAGATTTAATCTTCTCTGACAAGAGTGAAGAGGCATCTCCTGTTTAATAGAGTAATGAGGAAAGGCCTACCTCAGGAGGTGTCATTTGAGCTAAATGATGAAAAGGAGGCAGTCATGTAATGGTCTGAATGTTCAAGAAAAATAACAGTATGTGCAAAGACCCTGAGGTGAAAAGGACATTGGCATATCTGAAGAAAAAGAAACTTTCATATACAGTTCTTCTGTGTAAATGTCTCTTGGATATGGAGTTAAAATAAAGAAGAAAATCTAAGTACTTTACACTAGAATACAAACTGAAGTAGATAATATAGTAAAATTTGCAGTTTTGATTCAATAGCAATTTTGATCTCCCAAAAATTATTTTCTGCTATAAAATTATTTGCTTAGAGTTTAACTTGATATATTTCTCCTTAGATTCACTGAAGCTCAAAGCATATTAATCTTTTGTAGTACTGCTATCACTGGTATAAAGATTTTATTCAACTGTATAGGTTATATCAGATTCTTTACTAATTCTTCCCATTGCTACAAATGATACATCCTAACAATGTATGTTCTCTGTTTAGACTTGACATGCAAGACTTTGAAAAATAAAAACTAGGATGAGTAATACATCACAATGAAAATTTCTGGAATTGATACCTTAGTATTTCTTTTGTAATGATTTGTAAATCTATGCATGTCTGTACTAGAAGCATTTCCCTAAAGAAAAGACTGCTCTTTTACTGTTCAGATTTTAAATATGCACATCCTGATCTTAGACATTATAACCAGACTTCCACTATCAGACCCACAACACAATGCTCATATTCACAAACAGCCTCAATCCATAAATAATATTATTTACTATTTGGAAGAGAGCACAGAAAACTAAGGAGCTGTGATGGAAAAGATTTTCACAAGAGTTTAAAAGGAAATAACAGGATGAATACACATTTTGTCTTTACTTCTTTTAAAATTATTAGCTTCTGGTTTAGGTAGCATTGGCTTTCTCTACTTCCTGCACACACACACACACACACACACACACACACACAAATATACACACACACATATGTGTGTAATATACATATTTACATAACATTAATTGTGTAGGTAAGTAAATGGTTGTTCATGGATTTTATAATATTTCAATTGTATATTGATCCGTTAATGTGACTATAAAATATTATATTAAAGCTAGGATTTTTAAAAAGCTGTTAGCTGCACTTACTGAGCCCATGAAAATTGACAAGTAAACATAGAAAACATAACTGCCAAATTATTTATGAAACTTTTCTTAGCATAAGTATTTTAAGGCTGCCCGTGTATCTCCAGATAGATTTGACAGCAGATAAAATAAAATTATCTAATTAGAAAATAGAAAAACAGTTTCTTCAGCCTCAAATTATTCATCAGTATCACTAGGATATGTGCAGAACAATGGTTATAAATGTTGATTTGTACTTACTGGACACTGAGGTAGAGTGAGAGCTTGTGGATATTGGTATTCAGGAATAAGCAATGGCTTTGAAATCTGTATGATCAAGGTTGAGGTTTGTATGTTTATCACCTTCCGGAATAAAGAATTGAAAATGCAGAAGACCAGAAATAATGATAATGAAAAATGCAACAGAAGATATTTGTTTTCTTAATATTTTAATACTCTGGGATTAGGATGCCATTCGTGGTCTACTGTAGAAATAGAATTAGAAATTCAGAGAAGAAAAGGAAATTTTGGCTAGCAAGTTCCTTTTGGATGCTTTCTTAAAGAATTGTAACTTGAGTCACAGTGCAGAAACCTTAAAGTGCCAGCAATGAGGTGAAAGCCATTTCTTATAATTAGAAGTCTGAAACATTTGAAAGGAATAACTAATTAGGACTAGAGAAAAATTTAAGAGAGAAGAGCGTAGACTAAATGGCCTAGTGAACTCTTGGTGTTTGCAAAAAGTATCCGTACTTTTTTTCAGTGCTATAGATATAAACAAATTTACTTGGAGTTGACCAAGGAAAAGATCATTGAAATGCATTTTGGCTATCCTTCCTTCTATGTCTTGAAATCTATAGATGTATGCTGTTTCCCAGTGTGTTCTTTTCAAGATATTCTTCCTATTTTGGAGTAACATTCACAACGACTTTCATAGTGAGATGGACAGTGTAATTTTGAGTTCCTTATTTGAGAGTATTGAATGCCAGAACATGTTCAAATGAGAGGTCAAAAAGAGCCTGTACGGGCAGAAGACTTCCACTTCTATCCTCTTCAGTTTCTTGTTGGGTCCAAGAATTACATTGACTTAAGAAAAGTTTTATAAGGCTTGGGAACCCTCATAAAGAACTGAAGATCAGAAGAACCAGAGTCAGTTACTTATATACTAAATTGGACAAGGAATACTAAACAGTGAAAACATGACTAAAATATGTGGAGGTTTAAAAGATAAGTTATTCTAGCAAAGTCTGTACCGAATTCTCTTAATTTCAACTTCTTGTCCTTGAGGAAAAGGATGCTACGTATGTCAAGTATAGAAAGGGTTTCTTTCACACAGTAACTTCATCTTCTGCTTTTAAGAAACAGTATGAAGATCAAAGTGTTTTTCTTACACCTGCTATTTTTCAAGTGCCTTTTCTTAAATAGTCAATATTCCAGAAGAGCACAATATTTAACCCTCTCAAACCAAATACTTTGTTAAAGGGACTATCTTTCATGCTAGGTATCAAATTTTAGGGTTAGAAAATCAGAGTTTTTGATGTAAAGCTAAAGTTATCAAGTAACTTTTCTACATTATTATACATAATTAAGGTGATCATATAATCTGTCTAAATGTGAGATTCTTTAAAGGAGAAAAGAGGAGGGACAGTTGCTTAGTTAGTCAGGACATTAAGACAACATAGTAAATGAAAACTGCATAGAGCAAAGTAAATATAAGGGTACTATTGAGAGAGGCAATTGTCTACTCTTTGTATATCTATTCTATTGTCTTAACGCTTGTGGCATTTGAGAACTATTCTGAGTGGCATCTTAATCTGAAATCTATTTGTAACTCAGTAGTTTTTCTCCCTCTCCTTATTAACTGTGTTTTTCCCCTCAGGTAGGCATATCATAGCATCCTAACAACCATTCACAGACGGCACGCATCAGCACTTTCAGCTTTCTCTCTTTGTTTGATTAGAAAACAGATGCATTTTCTATCAGAGTAAGCTTGTTTGTATATACTTGCTTAAAAGAAACACACTGAAAACAGAGAGACTTGGTTGCATATTTTCTTGAGAAAAACTTGGTGGCATTTTTTTTTTTTTTACAACAGGCTAGAAATGGAATACTCTTAGGATTTCTATAAGAAGATAAAAGCAAATATTTATATTTTCAAGTATCGGAAATTCTGTCACCATCTTCCCAGAAGCAAATCTCAAGAGTTTCCTTTTGGTTTATTTATTTTAAATAGTTAATAATATGTAAATTTTGATCTCAGCTTCTCTGGAGACAGAGTAAGGAAATGGCTGATTCAAAAATTACATTGATCTCACATCCGAATGTAGTTTCAATGATAAAATTGATTTTTCTATTCCCTGTAAATATAGTATTCAGCCAAAAGAGATTTATTGCTATGTTAGTAGTTAATTCTTACAGTCTGGATGAATTGTTCAAACATCAGTTTGTTAATAACAAATATCATATTTATTCACATATTTCCTTTGATGAATACCCCACTCCTTTTACTACAATTTCAAAGAGAAAATAAATGAACCTTATCAGAGTCTCTATGGTGAGAGAAGAATTACACTCACATACAGTAGCTGTAGTCCAGATTTCACTGTGTTAGAGTTGAAAGTAGATATTACAATATTCTAACCCCCTTCCAAATTTAGGGAGTTAAATATCTGGAAGAATCGGAAGTCAATTAACTTTTAATTGATAGCTGGCAACAACTATACCTAGAATAACTATCTGAAACATAGGTTTAAGTTAGAGTAGGTAACTCTGAATATATTCATTTCATTTTAAATTAGCAATTGATATTGATTAGCAGAATTCTATTAATTGATAAAATTATAATGAAAACCTCTTGAAGAAATCTACTGATGAAGTTTGGTGAGATCAAATGGCTGGACACAAATGGGAAAGGCCTTGGTGAAAAGATCCCTTGGACAATGGGTGGGGATTAGACATGATTAACTCTGAAAAAAAGAAAGTGAAATACCAGCATTTACCCAAGTTAGAAGTGGGAAGAAATATCTCAGAGACATGTAATCCTAACCTTGAATACAGTAACTACTGTCTCTTTTACCTGTATGGTATGTAAAATAGAAATTTGGAATGTCTGGGTATCTGGAACAGGGGTGAGGAAACAGAATCTCCATCTGGCATATTTCTCAAAGAATATGTCAAACTCTCTTTGATTCAGAAAAAGTCACTTAGAGGGACAGCGAATCTAGAAGTTCGTTTCCTTTCTACTAGTTCATTGTGTCAACTCAGGATGAGGGAGATTGTTGCTTATTTTGCATCCAGTCCATTTGATCACCACTGTCTTAGCTGCGACACCTAAAGGACTTCCTCACCCCCGCCTCTGCACTCTCTACCACTCAAATCTATTTTTCACATTGCAGATCAGAATTATTTCTCTAAAACATATGTCAGATCATGTCACTTTCCTACTTCAAAGCATTTAGTGGCCTCTGAACACCTATGAGTTTTGAACTACCTGCATCTTGAGATGAACTACCTGCATCTACAAATCTGTCTTGTCAACTCCTTGTGGTTTCCTGAGTCCTCAGTAGCTTTTCTATCCCTGATTTGGTAACGTTGCAGCCATCTTAAGCATGTTCCAGAAATCTACATATGTGCCATTTTACTTACTCATTTCCTCACTAAATATTTTATATGTGCCCTCAATATGCACAGAGAAGTACTAGAACAGGGAAAGAACTGTGAACAAGGCACTCACAGACTCTGTCCTCAGGGAACCAACTAATTCAGCAGGCACTTTTCCCTCTGACTGGATTAAATGCTTCTCTTCTGGGTTCCCACAGCCTCCTCTGTATAACTCTGTCTAAACCAAGCTTTTCTAACTCATGGCCCATTGGCCACATGTGGCCCAGGATGGCTTTGAACGCAGCTCAACACAAATTTGTAAAATTTCTTAAAACATTATGAGATTTTTTTTTGCATTTTTTTAGCTCATCTGCTATTTTTAGTGCTAGTGTATTTTATGTGTGGCCCAAGACAGTTCTTCCAGTGTGACCCAGGGAAGCCAAAAGATTGGAAAACCCTGGTCTAAATGCTCATTAAAATACAGCAAAATATGCTGTTTATTCTCTTGTAATCCCAATGTACCATGAGCTCCCTTGGGGGAGTATCTAAATTATTTGCATCTTCATCCCCAACATATGTCATGGTTCTACAAATTGTATTGAATTTAGAAGATAAGTGCCTATATGGTGTTTTGAAGATATATATATATATATATATATATATATATATATATATATAATGATAATTGCCATCTGCATTACAAGCACAAGTTATAAAACAACAGCTAATAGGATTTCACATAAAAGGCAGAATTGATATAAAATGTGAAAAAAAAACCTTACTGAAGAATAAAAGTGTAAACTTGAGAAGAGAAATACTGTGGTAGGGAAATCTGTCATACACACAAAAAATGAAATAAAATCAGAGAGAAATAACATGAAATGTAGACAACATTAAGGAAATGGAGATGAAATAATTGGAATGTTAACCACAGGGAGAATCTAGTTATTAAGTGAACCAACTCAAAGTATGAAAATGAAATATTATGGGATGGATGAATGCTGATGAGAAACGGTGATGTATCATCAGTCAGTGAGAGAAAAATGATGATAATTTAGTACAGAACATTAAGAATAAGAAGTACTTAAATGAAAATATGGAGACGAGTTTGGCTGAGGAATATAAAAGAGGAAGATATTGAAAAGGAACAGCACCTTTCATTTATATATTTAAGTAAATTCTGGACTAAAAGCTAGTCAAGAGAATCTGTGATAAAAGAAACAGAATGGCTAGTATAACATATTGTTTGAGTTCTGAAATAATAGAGAGCTTTTAAGAGTAAAACTGGAGGGGGATGACATACATATCAGCATAAATAAGGATTGGATTTTATGCAAGAAGAAATGTTGGAGCATCTTGCAGATCAAAGCTATTCAGGTACTACAGGAGAAGAGAAGTTTAGCATTAAGATATCAGACAGCAGGAAAAAGTGTGAAGCCAGTTAGAATGGAGAAGGTGGGCACACAAGAGGCAGTTAATCCAAGTCCAAGGAGAGATGTGCAGAAATGTCCACTTAGTCAAGTGACTTGAAGAACTGGCAGTTCCAGGCTTCTAGGAACAGTCAATTGAGAGCATCTCATCTGGCTGCAGGGAAAATGAAAAACTGTATGATCTGGCCACTTTTCATTGATAGTTCGCTTTTGAGTTTTATAATTGCTATTGGATAAAAAGAAAAAGAAGAAATCTTTATAGGCAAAGAAACATTTTCTAGTGTCAAGTAAAATACATCTGAATAGATAAGAAAGAGATTAAAAGAATAACCAATGATAGGTTTAGAGGGAATTGCCCATAAAATAATGGATGGGAAAACAAATATCAAGGCGAGAACTTTGATTTATGGCAAATGATGACTTAACAGTTGTAAAACTAGTGTAAAGACTTGCGATCCTTACCTAGCACCAGAAACTTATTTTTTTTCCTTTTGGTGACAGGTTCTCACTCTGTCACCCAGGCTGGAGTGCAATGGCATAATCATAGCTCATTGCAGCCTTGATCTCCTGGGCTCAAGAGATCCTTCAACCTCAGCCTCCCAAGTAGCTGGGACTACAGGCACATGCCACCATTCCTGACTAATTTTTGTATTTTTTGTAGAGGCAGGGTCTTGCTATGTTGCCCAGGCTGGTCTCAAACTTCTGAGCTCAAGCAATCCTTCTGCATCAGCCTTCCAAAGTGCTGAGATTACAAGCATGAGCCACCATGCCCAGCCCAGAAACATTTAACAAGCAATTATGGAGAAACAAGAATAGATAATTGAACCACACTCAAAAAGTAATACTATGAGTGTTCAAATATATAATTACCAACAATAAAAATGTTCTTAAAGATTTAAAGATACTCCAAAAACTTCTCACTCATTTATCTGAGGATAGTGATTAGTTCCAGTTTAAAAAAAAGCTGTCAAACTAATAGAAAATGGCTTTGTCCATCTTCCTGCTGTCATTAATTCAGAAATCTATAAGGAAAAGACTAGAAAAAATATCAATGAAGCTCAGAATGTCACCTGAATTAGAGAGTCAGAGATGCAGATAAGAGTGCGAAAACAACTAGTAACAATTAGGAGAGGAGGTGGAGCAAGATGACCAAAATAGAAGCTTTCACTGATCATTCTCCCTAAAGGAACAATAAATTGAACAACAGCACCTTCATAAGAATGAAAAATCTAACAAAACAGCACCCTCATAAGAACCAAAAATCAGTTTCAATACTAGCTTGGCCACAGTGGGCTAAGGCAACCAGTAGGCACTTGGGATCCCTGATTCCAGGCCTTGCCTCTTGGACGGCATTTCTAGACCTGCCCTGAGTGAGAGGGGAGCCCACTGCCCTGAAGGGAGAATTCCAGGCTTGGCAGCATTTACAACAAGTTGACTGAAGAGCCCTTGGGCCTTGAGTGAACATTGCTGGTATCTAGGCAGTACTCACCATGGGCCTGGGGCAGTGTTGGCCATGGAGAGGGACTCCTCTACTTGTGAAAAGGGGAGGAAAGAGTGGGAAGAATTTTGTCTTGTGGCTTGGGTGCCAGCTGAGCCACAGTAGAGTATAACACCAGTTAGATTCCTAGGGTTTCCAATTCCAGACTCTGGCTATCAGACAGCATCTCTGGACCAACCTGGGGCCAAGGGGACCTGGACACTCTGAAGGGAAGCATAGAAACTTGGATGGTTTTGTTGAATGCTAATTGAAGAGCCCTGGTTTCTTAAGAAACACAGGAGGTAGCCAGGCAGTGGTTACTGTGGAGCCTTTTGTGAGACCCAGTACCACGCTGACTCCAGGTCTTTGTACAGTTTAAGTTGTGGTGGCCACAGTGCTGCTTATGTCACCCCTCCCTTAGCTCCAGGCAGCTCAGCACAGAGAGAGACACTCCATTTGTTTAGGAAAAAATAAGGGAAAAGAATAAGACTTGACCTGGTAATCCAGAGGATTCTTCAAGATCTTATCCCCGACTACCAAGGCAGTACCTCTGTGAGTCTGCAAGGGCCATCGCATTACTAGGCTTGGAGTGCTCCCTAATGCAGATATGGCTGGGAAGACAAAAAACTTAGATTACGAAATCTAAGTCCCTTTGAATACCTGGAAAACCTTTCCAAGAAGGATGAGTACAAACAAGCCCAGACTGCAGAAACTATAATAAATACATAACTCTTCAGTGCCCAGACACAAAAAAAATCCACAAACATCAAGACCATCTAGGAAAACATGACCACCCCAAATGAACTAAGGCATCAGGAACCAATCCTGGGGAGACAGAAATATGTGATCTGTCTGAAAGAGAATTCAAAATAGCTGTTTCAAAGAAATTCAAGAAAATTCAAGAAAACATACAGAAAGAATTCAAAATTCTATCAGATAAATTTAACAAAGAGATTGAAATGATTTAAAAGAATCAAGCAGAAAGCAGAAATTCTGGAGTTAAAAATGGAGTTGACACACTGAGAAATGCATCAGAGTCACTTACCAGCAGAGTTTATCAAGTAGAAGAATTAGTGAGATTGAAGACAGGCTATTTGAAAATACAAGTCAGAGGAAACAAAAGAATGAAGAAAAATCAAGAAGCATGCCTGCAATATCTAAAAATAGCCTCAAAATGGCAAATCTAAGTGTTACTGGCCTTAAAAAGGAGATAAACAAGGGTAGAAAATTTATTCAAATACATAATAACAGAGAACTTCCCAGAACTACAGAAAAATATCAATATTCAAGTACAAGAAGATTATAGAACGTCAAGGAGATTTAACCCAAAGAAGATTACTAATTTAGTAATTAAACTCCCAAATATCAAGGATAAAGAAAGGATCATAAAAGCAGTAAAAGAAACAAATAACATAAAATGGAGCTCCAATATATCTGGCAGCAGACTTTTCAGTGGAAACCTTACTAGGAGAGAAAGGCATGGCATATTTAAAATGTTGAAGGAAAAAAAAAAAAACTTGTATCCTAGAGTAATATGTCCAGCGAAAATACGCTTTAAACTTGAAGGAGAAAATACTTTCCAAGACAAATGAAAGACAATGCATTTCATCAACATCAGACCTTTCCTACAAGAAATGCTAAAGGACATTTTTAAATCTGAAACAAAAGGACTTTAATGACTAGTAAGAATAATTTGAAGGTGCAAAACTCACTGATAACAGTAAACAAACAGAAAAACACAGAATAGTATAACCCCATAATGGTGGTATATAAACTATTTACATCTTGAGTACAAAGATTAAAGATGAACCTATCAAAATACTACCTACAATAACTTTTCAAGATATAGGCAGTACAATAAAATATAAATAGAACAACAAAAAGTTAAAAAATGGGGGGACGAAGTTAAAATGTAGAGTTTTTATTAGTTTTCTTTTTGATTTTTTGTTTATGCAGTCAGTGTTGTCATCAATTTAAAATAATGGGTTGTGAGACATTATTTGCAAGCCTCATGGTAAACTCAAATTAAAAAACATGTAACAGATACACAAACAATAAAAAGCAAGAAATTAAAACACATTACCAGAGAAAAACACCTTCACTAAAAGGAAGACAGGAAAAAAGTCAAATGAGTTTGGCACAGAAATACAAACTTTTCATGTAATCACTTATTTGTGGGAGCTAAAAATTAATACCATTGAACTCATGGAGATAGAGAGTAGAATGATGGTTATCAGAGACTGGGAAGGATTTCTGAGAGGAAGAAGGGAAAGTGAATGAATACAAAAATACAGTTAGAATGAATAAGATCTAGTATTTGATAGCATAACAGGGTGACTACAGTGAATAATAATTTATTGTACATTTAAAAATAACTAAAAGAGAATAATTAGATTGTTTGTAACACAAAGAAAAGATAAACGTTTGAGGTGATTGTTACCCCATTTACCCTGATTCAGTTATTACACGTTGTACACCTTTATCAAACTATCTCATGTGCCTCATAAATATGTACAGCTACTATCTACCCACATAACTTAAAAGTAAAATTTTTTTAAAAAATTAAAAACAGGAAAAACATTTAATTTGAATATAAATGATGCTACATAGAAATAGCATTGACAAAAAAGGAGCAATGACATCAAGTGACAACAAGATGTATACAATAAAGCTTCAAGACAAAGTGACAACTGTAATAAAAAATGAATATACTTCCAAAGGAGAATTGAACATTTCTCTCAATCAACTAACTAAAAACTATTAATAATAATTTCTGCTTTAACAAAACCTATCTTTTATATTTGCCTACTGATCTTGAAATACCTCTGAGAACAAGTAAACTTGATATATCTAGAATTTAAAAAGAAAAATCATAGCATCTCTTTTTGTACACAATCTGGTATAATTCTTCTTTTAAAAACAACTTCTGTTCTGACAATCAGCTTTTAGGTGTTAGTTCGGGGGAAGCCACATTATCATATTAAAACCAAAGGTCAGACATCTGTGAAACATTATATTAAAAGCCAAGAAGCTGAGGCAGAAAAATTATTTCTGCTTCATCTCAATATAAATTGCAGATCATACAGTGACCTGGGTTTACAATGGCCATCCAATCTAAAATGAATTGTATTCCATTTAACATCTAAAATGTCATACTGGGCCTTGTGTGTGGTTTTAATTTTCAACTGCCTCAGCCTTGTTCTTGGTATTTGCAGCTTCCAAATGTGTCTCTTCACCTTCAGATGATAGGATTTTATACATAGAATGAAGAAGTAAATTTTTTTTACATTCATTGTCGTCAATAATTGCTTATTTGCTTGTTCATTTAAATTAAAAAATATATTTACTTTGTGAATCAATAATAAGAAATATAATTTTAACTAAATTATTTTAGCAGATGGTAACCTATGAAAATATTTTTAACATTCTGTGCAACAGGAAATATTTGAAAATGGGAACTTGAAACTCATTTTCTCAGCAACATCAAGAATTAATAGCTAAAACTATAATAATTAGCATACATTTCATGTCTACTCTATTACATATATTACACTAAGGGTTGATAAGCCTCATAATGTGGTTGTTAATGATGTTCTCAACTTTGTCAGTTTCTGCAAAAAAGCAGGTTACTATGAAGATAAGCTAAAACTACCCCTACAGAAGTTCACTTTGAAAAAGCAAACTTACAAAAGGAGAATGTTTTACTGTCCTTCACATCAGATTTTCCCAGACTAATTTCCAGTACATGTTTGCCTAAAAGTAATGTTGAGGTTAAAAGAAACCAATAAGCAAAATCAAATAAAAAGAAACACTTTTTTTTTGCAGTTCTTATTAGTGTAAAGGAAAGCAAACCAGAGGAAAAAAATTCATAATGCACAAGTAATAAAAATGGAAGCAAAAGTCCAGGAAGACTGAATCAGAGGCAATATATGAAAAGTGAAAGAATAGTCTTTGGAGGCACACTTGTGTTTGAAAATCAAGCTCAGCCACTTACTAGTTTTGTTAACTTGGAAAAATTTACTTTCTGAGCCCCAGTTTTCTCATCTGTAAAATAGGTTTGATAATGCTTACCCCAGAAAACTGCTAGGAAACATATTACCTAATGCCTAAAAGCAGATGATACAATGTAGAATCAATAATGTGTATTTTTTACTATTAAAGCCATTTTTTAGATGAGCTGGATTTGCTGCCATACAATCAGCAAAATAAATATTGTTTCTCATCATTCTATCACATGATCCTACAGCTTTTCAGGCAACTTTTCTGGTCTGGGTAATAGTCGAATATTTAATAATGTGTTCAACATGGGCACTAACCAGTCAATCAACAGGAATGTGATGTTGGGGACTCCCTCCTACACCAAGCACTAAAACAGTAGTTGCAAAATAGTGGTTAGGGTACGGGGTATCCAGAATATCTCAGAGAAGTTCCTGGTGTGGCTAGAATAGTAAAGCACTTTTCAGCCACTACAGAAGACTTCATGTTGTTGTTTTTTTTTTTTTTTAAATAGCCAGTACTGCTACTAATAACTCAAAAGAAATGAATATCAATCTTACTCTCAGAGGTGAACAATCGTTCCCCTTTTAGTTTTTGGCATTTTCAAAAGCCTCGTTTGGTATATGAATAAAATTTTAACACCTTTGTTGATTTAATGTTCAAGATTGACTGTGGCTAATTAACCTGATATGGAAAACATGAAGATGAAGGAACCGCTCAGTTGCATAATATTTCTGCCTACACTCCACCTCCTTCCTGCATCCTCCTTCTCCACTCCCTGTCTTGCTTCTGGCACTGTGTGGATTGAACCAAAGGAGGGGAGGAGAGGTAAGGAGTGTAAAAGGCTTATAAGACTATAACTTTGTATTCTGGTACTAGTGCTACTTGTTCTTCAGGACCCCTCTCGGCACTTCCATGAGATAGGCCAAAATGCAAACTTATACTGACCTTGTTAGATTTCCCTCTCAATTTCTATTTCAATATGTTTCAGAATAGCTCTATTTTGGGGAGACATGATACCCTGCCGGTCATCCCCTTGGCTGGGGCCACTTTGAATGTGCTTTAACCCTCACAGCTTTCTTCTGTCCCCTCAGGAACTTTGCACTTTTACTCTTCCAACTTGAAAGTGCAGATTACCACAGTCCTTTCTTCTCAATCTCCCATCAGAGGCAACTCCATCCAGCCTCATACCTTTTAACTTTTCAAGGCAAGAGTCAGGCACCAACCTGTAGCTTCTACTAGCTCCAGAGGACTCGTATCAGGTTCACCAAATAGCTCTTTTGAAGTTGCTTTCTCATGGCTTGGATGTGGGGTATGGAGGGACCTGAAAGCTCCCCTTTCTCTCTAATCTTGTCCAACTATCTTACTTATCTGAGGATAAGTAGCTCAAATGGCTTAGACAGCAGGCAGCTGCAGCTGGTATTGGTCGTCCCTCCCAGCCAGGAGTTCCGTAAGCATAAGCAGATTCCAGCTAAGAGGCTGTAAGAATCTGCACATTCCAGGGTCGGGACACTAGGCCCCGGTGACATGGGTTTGAGAGTGGGATCTTCCGATCCGTTAGTTGTACAGTTATGTGGAAAAAACACAGTTTCCCCAACTGGATAGCACGCTCACTCACTGCCTCCATTGGCTGGGGGGAGGGAGGTTCCCCTTCCTCCTGTGGCTCTCAGGTGGGCCCCTGCACCAACACTGTTCTTCCTTCTCTCCGTGAGTCACGCCAGCTTTCTAGTCAATTTTGATGAGAGAACCTGGACAGCTTGGTTGCCGGTGAAGGAGTCACACACTTATTATTGTATTTCTTTTCCATGCCTCCAAATGCCACTGCTTCTAGTGTGCCATCTTGGCTCCGCCCCTTCCTTGCAATTACACAAGAATTAATTCAAGATGGTTTAAAGACCTAAATGTAAAACCCGAAACCATAAAAACTCTAGAAGAAAACCTAAGCAATACCATTCAGGACATAGGAATGGGCAAAGACTTCATGACAAAAATGCCAAAAGCAATTGCAACAAAAGCCAAAACTGACAAATGACATCTAATTAAATTAAAGAGCTTCTGCACAGCAAAAGAAACTATCATCAGAGTGAATAGGCAACCTACAGAATGGGAGAAAATTTTTGCAATCTATCCATCTGACAAACGTCTAATATCCAGAATTTACAAGGAACTTAAAAAATGTTTACAAGAAAAAAATCAAACAACCCCACCAAAAAGTGGGCAAAGGATATGAACAGACACTTCTCAAAAGAAGACATTTACACAGTCAACAAATATATGAAAAAAGCTCAACATCACTGTTCATCAGAGAAATGCAAATCAAAACCACAGTGAGATACCATCTCACGCCAGTCAGAATCGCAATTATTAAAAAGTCAGGAAACAATAGATGCTGGCGAGGCTGTGGAGAAATAGGAATGCTTTTACACTGTTGGTGGGAATGAAAATTAGTTCAACCATTATGGAAGACAGTATGGTGATTCCTCGATGATCTAAAACCAGAAATACCATTTGACCCAGCCAGAAATACCATTTGACCCAGCAATACCATTACTGGGTATACAACCGAAGGAATATAAATCATTCCACTATAAAGAAACATGCACATGTATGTTTATTGCAGCACTATTTACAATAGCAAAGACTTGGAACCAATCCAAATACCCATCAATGATAGACTGGATAAAGAAAATGTGGTACATATACACCATGGAATACTATGCAGTCATAAAAAGGAAATGAGATCATGAACTTTGCAGGGAAATGGGTGAAGCTGGAAGCCATCGTCCTCAGCAAACTAACACAGGAACAGAAAACCAAACACCACATGTTTTCACTTATAAGTGGGAGTTGAACATTGAGAAGACATGGACACAGAGAGGGGGACAACACATACCAGTGCCCATTGCAGGGTGGGGGTTGAAAGGAGGGAACTTAGAGGATGGGTCAATACATGCAGCAAACCACATGGCACACGTAGACCTAGGTAAAAAAGCTGCATGTTTTGCACATGTATCCCGTTTTTTCTTTTTTTTTTTTTTTAGAATAAAGAAAAGAAAAAGGAATACTGTTTTCTCTTTTTCCTTTAGCTATGAGGAAATCGTCCTCCTCTCCTACTCAAATTTCCACTCACATTTATTATATCAGACATCTATGAACCATCTTTAAACATCAGGAAACAACTTAGGTCCCAACAGTCTTAACTGGGATTTGCCTTTTGTAGTGATTTGAGGGAGAATAGCAGGCTGTAGTTTTCGAACTTGGGAAGCCTATTCTCTAGGAAGCAGCTCATTTGTTTTTGATGCAACATGAAGAATATAACCATTCAGCACAGGCTCTGCTGCCTGTCCTTTGAAATTTTCATTGTACCTCCTGTATTGTTTTTCTTCCTTTTAACTGACTTGAATCACTCTCTTGCTGTAACCCCTGAATTCTATGTAGTCCATTTCTCTGGATGGCTTACCTGAACTTTCATCCTATTCTTTGGCTTTCCCTCTTGTGTGATGATGCCACCCCTAATGGTCAAAAAACGACAATGTGTTCAATGTTGGTTATCTGTCTTATATTTTTTTTCAGGTAGATTTTTTTCTTCATTTTTCCTCTTCTTTATTGTACTGTGAGTTCATATTTAAGCAAGAATTCTATGCATCATTATAATAATAAATAAAAATTTGGAGATAATCTCAATATAAAATAAATATTTAGCAAAAGTTGCTGAACAATACAAGTAATATAAATAAATGTAAATATACAAAATTGCTGAATAGTGATAGATTACAAAATAGTATGTTTAGTATACAAAAAGTTAGTTTATTAATAATTGAAAATATATCTTCTAAGAATTCCTAATTTAAAAAATTAGAAAAACAGAATATTACACTTAGCTTTAAAATAGAGAACAAAAGGAGAATTCAGAAAAGCTTCAAAATAAAAATCCTACAGAATTCTAGATAATTTTATGTTTTTAACTTTTGTTTACAATATTTATGTTTTCACAAAGCAATAGTCACTAAAGAAGACAAAACACACACATTCATAAACAAAGTAACATACACAAACTATAGTCATCATCCATGAACCACTGCATCCCTCAGGTGTACAATCTTTTGAACTAATTTTAAAGTGTGGGTGGCTAAAATTCATATCTATGTAAAAATAAACTTATAAACCTGTCTGCTCTATATGTACAAATAGATGGAAGGGGAAAAGAAAAGAAAATAAAACCCCAAATTTGGAAGTTCTTTATAGTCTTTCTAACTATCGAAATAAATAAAACAAGTATAGATACATAGGTCTTTCTTTTATCTGAGGCATTAATGAGACCAAATATATAAATACAAGTTCTAAGCCTAGCAGAAAACCTAGAATAAACTTCTCCAGTAGAGTAAAATAATGGAATTGAGTTTTGAAGAACATAAAGAAATTAATTAAGTCAGAAAAATATATGTTGGTAGCTATTAAGGGATGCGTGGGTAAGTGTCTAACTTGAGTACAGGCATCAAGCTACATCATATGGCATCTCCACCACATGATGAGTACATCTCCTGCTGTTTTTGAATTCTTCATTAAAAGCTTCAGGTACAAAAATGCCTCTGGGTCCTTCAGAGTTAAATCAAAGTGAGGAAGGAGAGGTAAAGGCTGAAAAGAACTTACATGACTGGCAAATGGTTTGGTATGGTTTTGATTATGTGAAGGGAGAATCCAAGACAATAGGCTGAGTTCCATGCAGGGATAAAGTCTCAACAGAGGAAAGAGGATAACCATGGCAATTATAAGATGAAGTCAGTTTTCTAGATCATGAACAGAAATAACCATTAAAATGAAGCCCACAAAGAAATTCATGAAAAAAAATAATATTATTAGACTTCTCTCAAATCACAAAATTGAGAGATTTAGTATTTTATTATTTTTTATTTATTATTTATTAATTTATATTTTCAATCTAGCTGAATAATATATGCATCTCTCACCAAAATGAATTCATAACAAAATACTATGTTATATCTTATTATAATTTAATTCTCTACATTAAATTATTTTAATTTTCTTTTTCTTTTTCTTTCTTTCTTCTTTTTTTGAGACAGGGCATAATTCTGTCACCCAGGCTAGAGTGCAGTGATATGATCATATCTTACTGCAACCTCAACCTCCAAGGCCCAAGGGATCCTCCCACTTCAGCCTCTCCAGTGCCACCATACCCAAAAAAAGTTTGTATTTTTTATAATGACAGGATCTCATTAAATTGACCAAGATAGTCTCAAACTCCTGGCCTCAAGCAATCCCCTCACTGTGGCCTCCCAAACTGCTGGGATTACAGGAATGGGCCATCACACCCGCTCTAACTTCCTAAATTTAACAATACGACATGAATAAGCTACCAATGAGTTTGCTCTAAAATATTCAAGAAAACAACTTACAAATCTAAAAAAAAAAAATACATGAATATGTTTTGGAGACATTTTCTTTAATAAATTATTATTTCACTTCAATTTTATTCTAAATATGTTTTCAGAAATATTTGTGTTGGAAACACAAGAAAACAGGGTAACAGATTACCTGCTACACCCTCTAGAAGGAACAGAACCCTGCCAACCTATTTTAGACTTCTGACCTCTGGAACTGTAGGAGAGGAAAATCTGCATTGTTTTAAGTCACTGTGCCTGTGGTAATTTGTTATAGTGGCAATAGGAAATGAATATAATATCCACTGAAAAACATCTGGAAATAATGAACAATTCATTTCTAATGTGTCCACTAGCCACTTACATTCTGGAATCTGAACACAATTTTCTATCAAAAGAAATCAATCAGGTGTCCTTGGATAAATGGCTGATTGAGGTATGGGTTAGAAAGTATACCAGATGTTGCTATAACATCTTATAGAACCAGATAGCAAAAGAGATATGAGACGACTAGTGTCACGTTAAAAAGTCCTAGAGACCAATTTGAAGAGTTTCTCCTTGGGTACAGTTGAGATAATTTGCCCATCAATAAGAATGATAACTGCAATAGATTGACACTTATCAAACATATTTAAATTTATGAGTACATAATGATATCAAAAAGCCAACACCAACCAAACCAACCAACCAAATCAAAACAAAAAATAATGGTCACAATTAGAGAATAATAGGTAACTAATTCATTATATTAAATACTGGGTAATAAAAGAAAAATCAAAGAGATTATCTCTCCTTACTATAAAAACTGTACCTCAATTCAAAAAATAATTGATAAGAAAAAAATTTATACAATTATGCCAATTACTTATTTATGAGAAATGGTAGAAATAGAGTATCGCCATAATCCAACTTCAAACAACATATTGGCTCCTAGAAATATCATATATGGCTGTCAACAGCACGTAACAGAGACAACCAGATGTTATGTGTTTTCTGATGGAAATGTATACCATCTAAGAAATATTATTTCCAAAAAATTGACCAATCTCTTTAAAAATATTTTTTTCAGAAATATAGGAGACAATGTAACGTTAAGCACTTATATAAGGTTATATGTAATACACAAATTCTGAGATCTCTATTGACAAGTTACTTGAAATTAAGAAACTTTTTTCAGATATTAGATTATTTCTATGTATATTTAAAACATTCTTGTCTTTTAGAAGATACATGCTACATACTTAACATCATTATAAATTAAATGATAAAAATGGAAGAGATTTGCTTCAAAATGAATCAGTACAGAAGTATAGATGCATTAAGATTGGCCCCAGTTGACAATTCTTAAGGTAGATGAAACAACTTTTTTATGAGTTTGAAGTTTACCCTGATGAAAAAGTTTTAAAAATTACAATTATTTTTATAATTTCTATAAAAAACTGAGAGAATCAAATAAGATAAAGTGTATCTTCTAAATAGTCATACATGCCATTTTAAAGTTAGGCACTATTGCAAGCAGCAAATGAATAATTTTGGAGACACAATGAGGAGACAGATATATCCTAAGAGTATACACCTGTATATATCCCAAGAGTACACACCTATACAGCAATGACCAAACAATGAAGGTTTTAAAACTGTACAACTGATTGTTTATTTTAAAACTTGGCATGATCTTGATGTGACTTGTATAAAATCAGTGATTTCACTATTTTGCTGGTGATTCAAACTAGTAGTTTGACTAAATTTCTTGGATGCTTTTGTATAACCTGTCCTAAAACTAAAGAGCAAACTTCACTAATACATACAAAGAAAAAAAAATGACAACTCACAGGCAATCCTTGGAATAATGGTGTGAGATGAACTGAAGTAGATTTATTTCTTCCTGGAATGATGAATGAGGTTTAGCTGCTATTGAAACCTTTGAAGGCTGTTAACTTGAATTATAGATACTTCTAAAGACAACCTCTTCTGAGGCCTTTCACACATTTCACCATGTGAAACACATGAATCTGATCGCATAACTCTCTTAGCTCTGTTGTGCCTAAAGATCCATAATGAATTGTATTCTCCAGCCCCTGCTCTGAAACAGAGCATTATAGTTTTAATATTCTTTACTCTTATATTTATTTCCAGGACCTTTAAGTCCCTGAAATTTAGTTTTTGCTCAGTAAACATTTATTGAATATTTGATAAATATTTTCTCATTCTTTTGGTTTCAATTTATGTACTTGGTATTTTTATGAGAAGTGATTAGAGGAAATAAAGAAAGGTATTATAAAGTGTTCATAGCTCATAATTCAAATATCATGACATGCAGGGTGACTCTTTGTATAATATAAGAGTCCTGTTGCTGCTTGCAATGACATGAAATGTTTGTGTTCCCCCAAAATTTATAATGTTGAAACATAATCATGAATGTGATGATATTAGGAGGTGGGGCCTTTGGGAGATAATTAGATCACGAGGATGGACTGTGTTTCAATGCCCTTATGAAAGAGGTCCCATAAAGCTTCCTTGCCCATTCCACCGTTTAAGGACACAGACAGAAGGCACTATTTATGAACCAGGGAACAGGTCATCACCAGACACTGAATCTGTTGGTGCCTTGATCTTGGACCTCCCATCCAACACAACTGTAAGAAATACATTTCTCATGTTTATAAATTGCCTAGTTTATGGTATTTTGTTAGAGCAACCCAAATAGACTGAGACATATGGCATTGCTGTAAGACAATTATGACTAACATTATGGGTTAAAACAACACAAATTTATGTTATGGTTCTGGAGGTCAGAAGTCCTAACTAGGTTTCAAAGAGATAAAATCAAGGTGCTAACAAGGTTGTGTTCCTTCTGAGGCTTTAAAGAAAAATACATGTCCTTTCTTCTTCCCGCTTCTAGAGGCTGCCTGCATTCCTTGGCTCATGATCCCATATTCCATGCGCAATGTCAGCAGTATAGCACCTTCAAATATCTGACCTCTGCTTTCATCTTTACATTTTCTCTCTGACTATGACCTTCCTGTTCTTCTCTTATAAGAACCCTTACAATTACATTAGACTCACATGGATAATCCAGAATAATCTCTCATTTCAAGATCCTTAATGTAATCACACATGAAAAATCCTTTTGCCATGTAAGGAAACATATTCACAGGCTCTGGGTTAAGACTTGAACATCTCTGGGAGGCTATTATTATCTCTATGGTACATTTAAGCAATGCAAATAATGAATTGCTTATAGTGTAATCTCTACTTCTGTTGGGAGAATTGGGGAATAATTATGTCAGGGTTGTTTTAAAAAATGCTTCACTAAGAGTATCAAAGTACTCTAAGCACCTCACTTACGCTTAAGATTACTGTCTATGAAAGCTTGACCAAGCACCATTGGATTACACAGAAACACAAACAGAGGCAGAAAAACTCTATGTAAAGCTAATTTAATTATATATATAAAGAAATTATACATATTTTATATATATGCTTTCATATATATATGTATATATAATATGTCTTTACCCTCTCACTCTACTACATATGACTTACCCCACTACCCATATGCCTTTACCCTATCACTCCACTACAAGCATAATATACTAAAGGATGAGGAAAGTTGGTTAACAGATATAATTTTCTTTAAATGTATTTTCCACTTAATGTGTTAAAAAATCAAGTTTTTTATAAATAAAATGTCATATCTATACAATAATTAGAGTACAGGTCACCTGCCAATTTTATTGAACTCTAAATCCAGAAAGATAATCTCAGCTATCACAAATTGTTTTGGACAAATAAAACAAAGTGTCTTTTTATGTTTATTCCTTTAGGCAAAGTAAATGTTAACATCAGAAAATACAGTGAATGGCAAATCAATATAACATAGCTTAGAGAAGAACTGCAAAGCTACAATTCAGGCAGATAATGTTTCAGTGAAATGCCTTAATTCCTGCCCGCGGTTGAAACTCACCATTTCTAAAATCATACTGATGGCCTCTAACTGATAGAGTTCAAAAGAATATTAGAGAAAAGGAACATTTATTTTGCTTTAGAATTCTAACACATGTAATTAATAACCTATTGGGTGTGTCTCACTACGTTAGTGACAGGATCATTCATACACCACACCTCGGTGACATGCAATTTACCCATGTAACAAACCTGAACATGTACCACCAAAACTAAAATAAAAGGAGAAAAAAAAACACAAAAAATAATAGCTGGCACTGAGTTTTCTTTTTACTTTTCTTTGAGATGGAGTCTCACTCTGTTACCCAAGCTGGAGTACAGTGGCACGATCTCAACTCACTGCAACCTCCACCTCCCTGTTCAAGCGATTCTCCTGCCTCAGCCTCCCGGGTAGCTGGGATTACAGGTGCGCACGACCACGCCTGGATAATTTTTTTTGTGTATGTTTTGTGGAGACAGGGTTTTGCCCTGTTGGCCAGGGTGGTCTCGAACTCCTGACCTCAGGTGATCTGCCTGCCTCGGCCTCCTAAAGTGCTGGGATTACAGGCGTGAGCCACCACGCCCGGCCTGACACTGAGTTTTGTATTACTAAATAAGTAAACAAAAAAATCATTTAAATCAAATTGTTCTAACCATTCTATTTTACTTTCAAGGAAAATGATTGACCCTCCTTTTTGCTATGCCTTCCACCTATGATTTAACAGAACGATCTGAAGTTGTGACACATAAATTGAACTCTTCCTGTCAGTTATTAAACACAGGTAATATTGGGCAGGTTGCAACTTCTCTGAGACACAGTTCCCTCCAAGAAAGCAAATGAACTCATGGCCACCCCCATGCTTGAAATTATAGAAAAACTAGAAGAGAACAGTGTGAGGAGAAAGTAAAATTATATTAAATCAATTAAAGAAAACCACTGGATGGCCTAAAAATTAATAGGAAAGCAATACCTAGACATTAAAACTGCACTACTACAGTTTGGATTTAATAACCTGGTAGACGAAATCATATTTGAAAAATCTCCAGTATCTATATGGAGTTTAGAGGTTTAAATATACTTTTTTTATGCATTTCTAAAGTTGATCCCCACATAAGCTTGCTAAATACACACCCAAAAAATACAATTTACTTTTTCTACAGGTGAGGAAATGAAACTATATTTCACATTTTTCATTTAGTTCATTTATTTATATATTTATGTAATAAGCACAAATTTATTTGGCACCTTTTATGTTCCAGGCAATGTGCTGGATGTTAGGTATTTAGCAGTAAGCAAAAGAGCCAAGACATTTGCCTTCACTGGATTTATTTTACATTCTAAAAAGAGACATCGACAAAACAAATGTATGCAGACAAATAAATGTGTAGTCATAATTTGCAAAAAGTGTTATGAATGAAAAAACTAAGTTATATTACTCAGGGTTCTCCATATATATATATATATATATATATATATATACACACACACACACACACACACATACACACACATATATATATACACACAGAGACAATATATATACACACACATATAAACACACACATATATACACAGAAACAATATATGTATATATACACATATATATGTATGTATACACACATATGTGCACATACACACATTCACTGGGAGAGAAAGAGAGAGATTATCAAGAATTGGCTCATGTAGTAATGAAGGCTGAGAAGTCTCACAATCTGCCCTCTATAAGCTGTAGACCCAGGAGAGCAAGCCGGTAGCACAGTTCCTGTCCAAGTACAAGTGAGGATGATGTCTCAACTCATAAACAATCAGGCAGAGAGAATGAATTCTCCCTTATCTCATCTTTTGTTCCATTTAGGCCTGCAACAGATTGGATAAGTAAAGCCCACTCACATTGGAGAAGACAATCTGCTTCATTCAGTCTACTGATTCAAATGTTAATCTCATCCAGAATCACCCTCACAATCACACCCAGAATAATGTTTAACCAAATATTTGGGCATCATGTAGCCCATTCAGGTTGACATATAAAATGAACCATCCTATAGATGCTATAAAAATGGCTAGAAAGGCCCTTTTTTGAAGGTCTTGAGACTGGAAAGATAAAAAGGAACAAGTGAGAAATGAGAAGAGTGTTCCTGGCAGGGGAAACATGTTTGAACCTCCTATTTGCTAGCATAGCTCAGCACTATTAGTGGCATTGCATGGCTGTGTTTGTGCAGGGAGGGTATGTTGGGGAGTCTTTCAGGTCTCCATCACAGATCTCACTTCCTCAGAGCATGATCTTCTAGCTAATCTTTACTGTGAAGCTTTACATAAGACCATAAAGTAGGAGACTGAGAGGGCGAAAAGAGAAACGGTTATGTTTAATACTTTTGAGTACATGCAGAGGCTCTCAAGTACAGGAAACTTACTGTCCAGTCTTAATGCTCTGTACATGGATTTTTTGGGGCCAAATTACCTAAGGTGAAGAGACAGGGGTCACATCAGTAAGATGTTCCATATAAGATGGCTCAATTTTATCTTGCAATGTGACACTCAGTAAGTTATCTTATATCAAGGCAAGAAGGTGATACCTCTGTGGGGTTTCCTGGGATGCAGAATTTCCTCTCTCTCTCTCATTTTATTCAGTTATCTATTTTATTTTTATTTGTTTCTTCAAATTGTATTCTGCATCAAGAAAACCTATTAGACTATTCGTAAAATCACTGAAAACATGTATAAATTCTTTGAAGTTTCAAAGCCTGTCTCATTTATTGCATAACAGTTTTCCTCCCACGAGGAAAGATTAAAGTATTTTGGGTGAAAATGAGAGAAATAGAAAAATGAAGCACTCAAAAAAAATCTGCCATTCTTATGTCATTCAAGTAATCAACATTTCCACAAGTGTTTGATTTCAAAGGAAATTGTCTAAGGAAGCAAAGATAAATTTACTAAATTGATTATGTACTTCTACTAGGCCTCATTTCCAATTGTAGCTAAATGTATGATGGTGAAATTATAAGCACAGCAGCATTTTATATATTACTGAGTGCAATTTTAGGACTTGAAACTCCACTGTGGCAAATCTAAGGAGATTAATTTTATGGTGATAGAAGATGGAACACATGCCTCATATTCACTGCATATGAAGTTAGTTTTGCTTACAGACTCTCAAGCCTGGTGACTGAAAAATGGATATGGATAATTCCAGAATAAGAGCCTAGCCCACAATGTAATGAGAAGTGTTACTGTCATTAACAAGTAGTTCTAACACAAACCTAGAAGTTAAAAGGATCTATGCTTTCATGCTTATCCCTTTCCTTATAAATTTCTGCCTTTCAGTATAGGCTTGAGCCCAGGAGTTTGAGACTAGCCTGGGAAACATGGCAAAACCCTATCTCTACAAAAAATACAAAACTTAGCTGGATGTGGTGGCACACACCTGTAGTCCCAGCTACTCAAGAGGCTGAGACAGGAGGATCCCTTGAGCCAAGGAGGTGGAGGTTGCACTGAGCCAAGATTGTGTCACTGCACCAAAAAAAGAAAAACAAAAACAAAAAGAATCAGCTTTAGCATCACCCATGTTTCACCTCTGAAAACATTCCATGCAAGTATTTGAACAAAGGATCTATGATAGTTAATTTTAGGTGTCAATTCGGAGGGTGTATTTGGATGAGATAAACATTTATTTATTTATTTATTTTTATATTTATTTTTTCAATTTGAACTATTATTTTAGATACACAGGGTACACATGCAGGTTTGTTATATAGGTATATTGCACCCAGATGGTGCATATAGTAAAATAGGTAGTTTTTCAACCCACATCTCCCTCCTTCCTTCATCCCACTGGTAGTTAGGAGTGTCTATTGTTCCCATGTTTATGTCCATAAATGTTCAATGTTTAACTCTCATTTATAAATAAAAACATGTACTGTTTAGTTTTCTTTTCCTGTGTTAATTCTCTTAGGATTATGGCCTCCAGCTCTATTCATTTAATGCAAAGGACATGATTTCATTCTTTTTAAGGCTGAATAGTATTCCATGGTATATATGTACCACATTTTCTTTATCCAGTACACCCATTGATGGGCACTTAGTTTAATTCCACGTCTTTGCTACCACAAATAGGGCAGTGATAAACATATGAGTGTATGTATCTTATTGGTATAATGATTTAGTTTTCTTTGGGTTTATAGCCAGTAATGGGATTGCTAAGTCGAATGGTAGTTCTAGTTTAAGTTCTTTGAGAAATCTTCACACTGCTTTCCCAATGGCTGAACTAACTTATATTTAAACCAACAGTGTATGAGCATGCCATTTTCTCCCCAGCCTCACCAGCATCTGTTGTCTTTTTACTTTTAGTAATAGTCATTCTGACTGGTGTGAGATGGTAGAGATTAACATTTAAATTGGTGATCTTTGAGTAAGCAGACTGGCCTCCATAATTTGGATGGGCCTCATCCAATCAGCTGAAGGCTTAAATAGAACACAAAGACCAGCCTCTCACACTGCCTTCAGGCTTCATCTGCACATCAGCTTTCCTGGATTTCTGCTTGCAAGTTTTCAGATGAAACTGAAACATCAGATCTTCTGGGTCTCAAGCCTGATGGTTCAGGTCACACTTCAGATTTTGGACTTTCCAGCCTCCATAATTATGTGATCTAGTTTCTTATAATGAATCTCTTTATATATATATAGTGTTCTGTTCCTCAGGAGAACACTAATATAGGACCTGATATATATTTTTCTAGAAAATAAACACAAATATTAAAATACGTAACTTTATTACTATAACTGCATTGCTTTTACAATACATTTCCATTCTGTCAAACATAAAAAAACAAAAAACAAAAAACCTTGCCAGTTTGGATTAATCCCATTTATTTGTAAATTTCTGTAGCCAACTCAAGATTTTTCTATAACTCTTTACACTCTAGACAGATTCTAAGTCCCAGGGGCTTTTCACAGTGAAAGAGTGATAGCACAGGAGAGACAACAATGACTCGGACATTTTCCTGAACATCGTCTATTTATTTATCCAAATTTACCATTCAACTATCTTTTGTTAAGATCCATATTTTAAGAAATTTCTTCTCTTGTAATTTGCTTTCTCATTTCTGTGGGATGTATTTTCCGGTAGCTTCCTAAAAACTGAAGCATTAGAAAAAAATATTTGAGAAAACCGGCTAGCCATATGTAGAAAGCTGAAACTGGATCCCTTCCTTACACCTTATACAAAACTTAATTCAAGATGGATTAAAGACTTAAACATTAGACCTAAAACCATAAAAACCCTAGAAGAAAACCTAGGCATTACCATTCAGGACATAGGCATGGGCAAGGACTTCATGTCTAAAACACCAAAAGCAATGGCAACAAAAGCCAAAATTGACAAATGGGATCTAATTAAACTCAAGAGCTTCTGCACAGCAAAAGAAACTACCATCAGAGTGAACAGGCAACCTACAAAATGGGAGAAAATTTTCACAACCTACTTATCTGACAAAGGGCTAATATCCAGAATCTACAATGAACTCAAACAAATTTACAAGAAAAAAACAACCCCATCAAAAAGTGGGCGAAGGACATGAACAGACACTTCTCAAAAGAAGACATTTATGCAGCCAAAAAACACATGAAAAAATGCTCACCATCACTGGCCATCAGAGAAATGCAAATCAAAACCACAATGAGATACCATCTCACACCAGTTAGAATGGCAATCATTAAAAAGTCAGGAAACAACAGGTGCTGGAGAGGATGTGGAGAAATAGGAACACTTTTATACTGTTGGTGGGATTGTAAACTAGTTCAACCATTGTGGAAGTCAGTGTGGCGATTCCTCAGGGATCTAGAACTAGAAATACCATTTGACCCAGCCATCCCATTACTGGGTATATACCCAAAGGACTATAAATCATGCTGCTATAAAAACACATGCACACGTATGTTTATTGCGGCACTATTCACAATAGCAAAGACTTGGAACCAATCCACATGTCCAACAATGATAGACTGGATTAAGAAAATGTGGCACATATACACCATGGAATACTATGCAGCCATAAAAAATGGTGAGTTCATGTCCTTTGTAGGGACATGGATGAAATTGGAAATCATCATTCTCAGTAAACTATCTCAAGAACAAAAAACCAAACACCGCATGTTCTCACTCATAGGTGGGAATTGAACAATGAGAACACATGGACACAGGAAGGGGAACATCGCACTCTGGGGACTGTTCTGGGGTGGGGGAGGGGGGAGGGATAGCATTAGGAGATATACCTAATGCTAAATGACGAGTTAATGAGTGCAGCACACCAGCATGGCACATGTATACATATGTAACTAACCTGCACGTTGTGCACATGAACCCTAAAACTTAAAAGTATAATAATAATAAAAAAAAATATTTGAAACTTTGCAAATTTTTCTACTTTTGCATTTCATGCTAGTTTGGGCATTAAATCACATGTTGAAAGTAATTTACCTCAAGTAAATGTAAATTTCAAAAATAAAATATTTTTCACTTATCAAAATGGAAAAATTTTTAAACTGTGGATATTACTATGGTAGTAATTAGTATACTATAATGGAAATTATAACGTTTCTAAAAAATTATTTTACTACAGTATTTACAGTCATTTTACTTCATTTTGTTTCTTTAAGAAAATATTACAAATGAAAAACCTGAGAATGTTGGCAAAGATGTTTTGTATAAAATATTTTTAATTTAATCTACATAATTTCCAAATTATTTCCAGCCCAAATCTCTCTTTAACATATAAACTGTAACATTTAGAATATTAACTTTACCTCTAATTTTTTTCAAGCTCTCATCCTATATACATTTTAAGCCAACAGTTACCTCCTTCATAGATATATACTAAAGACTAATGAGGTACATTTTAAAAGTTATCTTTTCATTATAATTTTGCCACATTTTGGGCAGTTGGACTTGTCTCTAGAGAAGCTATAGCTATTAGCTTTGTAAAGTAGAAATAATATCCTATTTAGAAAAAGGAAGGATTTTGTGCATTTGGGAATTTTTTTTTTACTAATTAATGACTGACCATGTCACTTAGATTTGGTAAAAACGTACCATCTTTATTTTTCTGAGAAAGAATGGAACACACAGTTGAAAAATAATGTGATTAATATAAACTTGCATAAGTGTTTATTCAGTACATAACTATTCCCCAAAGCTCACAAATAGCGTTACCACATATAAATACAGTATAAAGTGGGAAAAACCACTCACTGAATAAGCAGCAACATGGATAAAGAAAACAGGCATTCTAAATCCTAAGTGATGACTTGTTAGCTGTATTACCATATCTAAGTCACTTGACAGCTCTGCTTCTTGCCTCTGAAATGGAAATTACAAATTTTCATCAGACTAAAGGCAGCTGATTATACTTAATGCTCTTTTCAGGCCTCAGGTAATTCTGGAAGGCATTATTCTCATATTAAGGTGATTCAATCTATCAAAGTGAAGTGATCTGGATGTTTGTGATCTCTCAAAATTTGTGTATTATATACAAACCCCCAAGGTAGTAGAAGGTAGGGCCTTTGGGAGATCATTAGGTCATGAGAGCTGAGCCTCATGAATGGAACTAGTGCCTTTATAAAAGAGAACTAAAGGAGCTCATTCCCAATTTCCAACATGTGAAGACAGGGGCAAAAAGATCACTGCCCAAGAACCAGTAAGCAGGCACTCACCAGATACCTAATGTACTGCATCTTCATCTTGGACTTGTCAACCTCTTGCAATGTGAGAAGTAAGTTGTTTATAAACTACCCAGTTTATAGTGATTTGTTATAGCAACCAAAAACTAAGTGTTATGGTTTTTCAGATTTGTGTCACATTGTTTGAGCTCCACTTACTTTCACTAGTGATACAGAGAACATTCCTTGGATTACAAATCCAGTCATTCAGCAATGGTTAGTTACACAATGAACTTCTGTGTGTAAGTTTTTAGGAAAGAGACATGCTCACATACATTTCTTATTCTCCCTTTTTATTCACTCTGCAATTATTATATTCATTTTTCATGAGAAACATAGCATAGTTTCGTAACTGTTAAATATGCCATTATATATTTTTAAAATTTAAAAATGTTCTATTTCTTTAAATTTTTTTTGTTTAATAACTACCCCACATGCAGAAACACATATTCAAATGCTTTTCCTTCCCTCAATAGAGTAATTTAATGTGTGTATATGTATTTATTTTATAATGAAAAGAGGCACTGATTAATAGAGTGAAGTTATTAATGCAATTTATGGCCTTCATTCTTAAAACACAAAGTATTATTTGCCAAAATTATTGTTTAATGTTAATGTCCCTCCATGATTCATTTTTCTAGACAGGGAAATGAGATAAAATCATTGCAGTATTTATAATAGGAAACAAACTTTCATTCCCAACGAACAAATACAGCATGATACAAAAATGGTTGTAGGAAGAGTAAAAGTGATCTAATCAATTATTAAATAAAGGAATGTGACTTCCAGTACAATGATTAGATAATTTTGGATGGTTCAAAGTTATGGAATCATATTGTATTTCCAACTGATGATAAGATGTGTGTATTAATCTGCTTGGACTGCCATAAAAAATGCCGCAGACTTGGGTGGCTTAAGCAAAAGAAATTTATTTTCCCACTCTTCTGAAGCCTGGATGTCCAAGATCAAGGTGCTGGCAGGGTTGTTTTCTGCTAGGATCACTCTTCTAGGCTTGCAGACTGCCACCTTCTTGCTGTGTCTTCACACGGTCTTTTCTCTGTGTGCATGTATTCCTAGTTTTTCTTATTATCGTAAGGACAGTAGTCTTACTGGATTAGGGACCAATTTAACCTTAATTACCTCCTTAAAGTCCCTATTTCCAAATACACTCATATTGAGATTAAGGACTTTAACATATGAATTTTGGGGGGACATAAGTCAGTCCAAAACAGTATGGACTTAAAAAATTATTATAAAATACTGTATATAATAGCAGTGACTACAACTCTAATTTAGGGTCAGTACTTTTGGACTACCCATATGAATGTCCATCTCAGCCACTTCTTTTTACCTAATAGATTTCAGGTTTGTTGAAAAATGTATATAGGGAGATTGCTTAAGTTATATTTCATTTAGTCCATATTTTGTTTATTTATGTCCTGCCTCCTTCCTAAAAAGGATTGGAGGCTGCTCATTTATTCTCTGTATCTGATGTGAGATAACATTTTTTAATCAGTATAAATTGTTTTTTTATTATTATTATGCTTTAAGTTCTGAGATACATGTGCAGAACGTGCAGTTTTGTTACATAGGTATACATGTGTCATGGTGGTTTGCTGCACCCATCAACCCATCACCTACATTAGGTATTTCTCCTAATGCTATATCTCCCCTAAGCACCCCCCAGGGTGTGATGTCCCTCTCCCTGGGTCCATGTGTTCTCATTGTTCAACTTCCACTTATGAGTGAGAACATGCAGTATTTGGTTTTCCGTTCTTGCGTTAGTTTGCTGAGAATGATGGTTTCCAGCTTCATCCATGTCCATGCAAAGGACATGAACTCATCCTTTTTTATGGCTGCATAGTATTCCATGGTGTATACCACATTTTCTGTATCCAGTCTATCATGGATGGATATTTGGGCTGGTTCCAAGTCTTTGCTATTGAGAATAGTGCCACAATAAACATATGTGTGCATGTATCATTATAGTAGAATGATTTATAATCCTTTGGGTATATACCCAGTAATGGGATTGCTGGGTCAAATGGTATTTCTAGTTCTAGATCCTTGAGGAATAGCCACACTGTCTTCCACAATGGTTGAACTAATTTACACTCCCATCAAACAGTGTAAAAGCATTCCTATTTCTCTATATCCTCTCCAGCATCTGTTGTTTCCTTACTTTTTAATGATCGCCATTCTGACTGGCGTGAGATGGTATTTCACAGTGGTTTTGATTTGCAGTTCTCTAATGACCTGCGATGATGAACATTTTTTCATATGTTTGTTGGTTGCATAAATGTCTTCTTTTTAGAAGTGTCTGTTCATATCCTTTGCCCTAGCCATTTTAATGGATGATGTTAATACATTTCTGCCCAAAATTATGACATTTTGAGTAACATGAAGAGTATAATGTAAATAAATCTGAACTGTTCTTATTGTATAATTTATACACAGATAATAACATTAGTAACTTATATTAAGAACTCACTATGTGCGAGTGTATTGGTTCATTCTCACACTTCTATAAAGACATACCTGAGACAGGGTTATAAATTAAGAAGTTTAATTAACTCACTATTCTGTGGGTTGCACAGGCTTCTGCTTCTGGAAAGACTTCAAGAAACTTAAAATCATGGCAGAAGGCAAAGGGGTAAACAAGGCATGTCTTACATGGCAGCAGGAGAGAGAGAGAGAGTGAAGAAAGCCACATACTTTTATACCATCAGATCTCATGAGAACTCACTCACTATCATGAGACTAGCATGGGGGAAACTGCCTCCATGATCCAATCACTTCCCACCAGGTCCCTCCCTTGACATATGGGGATTACAATTTGAGATGAGATCTCGATGGGGACACAGAGCCAAATTATATCACTTGTATAGCTGTAAGAGGTTTTCCAAACCCTAAAACTTTGCCAAAGTCTATGACCCCCATTTAATTGATCAAGATCCAGTGCTGAATTCTACAGAATTAGCAATTCATAAGCAAGTTAATTTTTAATGGGAAGACATGAGAGAAAGAGGCATAGTCAGATCTTCCTGTTGTTTCTACCAAATTCATTAATTAGATTGATAACCCCAACTTCTCTGGAGTGAATAAGGAGAGGAGGCAAAAAGGAAGCAGGAGTGCTCACATGAAAGAGAAAATCAAGTGTAAATGATAGGCATTTTCTCCCCTAAATCCTGCCTCAGTTGTAAAAATTATTTGCATAAATTTGTGCATGTAAATTACTAAAATTTAATTTGACTAAAATTACAATATGACTATATTATGTGAGTGTGAGTGTGAGTGTGTGTGTGTGTGTGTGTGTGTGTGTGTGTGTGGACAGTGGCGTAATAAAAGAAATTTGGATCCTTATCTGCCATACATGGATACAGAATATTCTTTATATCTGAAAAATAGGTTTAATCATATTTTACATGTATGAAGGGAAATATCAGGAGAAATAGCTGTAAAAGTTCAAAGTAGTTGTTTCAAAGAGCATAACTCAGGAGTGCGATAAAGTGGTGGCCAGAAAAATATCTCACTTCTTTTTTAAACTTTGTAGTATTATTTGATCTAAATAAATGCATACTATTTATTTGATATAATTTTTAAATGCCATGGAATAATAACATTAACAATAAAATTGAGTCATTATCTGTTTTATGGATGCATACATACAGCCAAGAAAATGTCCAAAATAAAAAAAAAAGAATAAAGAAAACAAAACCAAGCAAAACAAACAAAAAAAAAACTGGGTCTGGTAGCAGGCAGAAACTTATTGTCAAGTCAACACAATGATATGGCATGACTGTAGGTTCCTTCTCACAATGAGAAAAGAGAAAATGTTATAGCATAAATATTTTCAAAATACATTTTTAGAGACATAATAGCTCTCAAGTTTTTTAGAGTTGCACTGTCCAGCATGGTAATGATTAGCCACACGCGCTTATTTAAAATTCAGTTTTCAAAAAACTAAATTTAAGTTAAATTTAAAATTCTATCAGTCACACTAGCCACATTTCAAGTGCTCACAAGCCACATATGGCTTCTGGCAATCTTTTTGGATAGCAGAAATAAACATGTTCATCACTGGAGAAAATTCTATCAGAGAACATTACTTACGGCTTTGTTGTTTTATCGGTTGAATATGCATAGACACTATGCCCTGAAACCCACAGTCTTGAAGACAAATGAACAACTCTGCCAAGGCCATGGATGTCTTCACAAAGCTAAGCATTTTGATGTCATTTAGAAGCAAGTTTAATATTATAAGCCTGAATTGAGAGTAGTTTATTCAGATTCTATAGATATTTGTTGAGTACCAAATCTATGGTACCTATGTTGCACAAGATGATCAAAACCCAGAAGTGATGTCAGCAAGATAGCTGAATAGTAATCCAAAAATCTTGTTTCTCCACCAAAACTCCAACTTAAAACAACATATGGTCCAAAAAGTCTTTATAAGAATTCCTGAAATCAGGGTGATGCGAGCTCCAAACCAAAAACAAACACATTGAAATGGGTACAAAGAGCCATTTTGACTGTGTCAGCTTCTCTCCAAGTCTGGCATAACTAGGAGAAAGAGACCAACTTCTGGCTTCTCTCAGAAAGTAAAAGGAAGAGTAGAATGTTCCAGATTTTTGGTGTGCTGTCTGAGGGACTAATTTCTGTCTCATGTGATTCAGAGCACTGATGGGTAACCATCATACCTTAAATGCCTTGGCCCATAGAGAACAAGAGAGCTCAGTGGCTTGTGATAGATAGCATGAGAGAACACAATGAAAACCACACCAAAAAAACACACAAACCACAGACAAAAACCAGCACAACTCACTACTTCAGGATTAAGAGACTAAGTAATGGCTTCTCCCCTGGGAAAGAAAAGAATGGAATATGTATCTAATTCTATAGTTTTTCAGTGAGCTGTGAGAGGGACTGATTTCAGCCTCACTGACTCAGAGCACTGACAGAACAAGCATACCTTAGATACCTAGGGGTATGCTGAGTATAAAACAGCTCAGCAGCTGGAGTTAGTCAAATAACCTGCAATACCAGAGATAGACACCAGAAGGTCCAAGATACTACAATCTCCTGAAAAAGAAACAAGGAAAACTTTCCAATTGCTAATTTGCATTCATAGTCCCAGAGAAGACACATACCCAGAAAAGACTGGAAAGGCTGCTAGAATCTTTAGCCAGGCTGATTGCATAAGTGTTTCCTAGTATGAAACCAGAAAGAATGGAAGAGGTGGCTGTTATTTCAAATGTGTGGGTCCCAACACAAAATTAAAGGCATAGAGTAAAACAGAAAACATGATCTAATCAAAGGAACGAAATGGATCTCCAGAAACTGATCCTAAGAAAAATTGAGGCATATTAACTACCTGACAAAGAATTCAAAGTAACAGTTGTAGAGATGCCCAATGGGCTTAGCAAACAAACAACGAATGAGAATATCAAACAGGAGACAAAACTTTTTTTTAAAAAATCATAACTTTTAAAGCCTAAGAACACAATAACTGAAATAAAAAATTCATAGAGAGGCTCAACCCCAGACTTAGTCAAGCAGAAGAAAAAATCTGCAAGCTAAAAGAAAGGTCATTTGAAATTATCCAGTCACATATGCAAAAATAAATAAATACATACATACATATACACATACATACATACAAAGTGGGACTTCTGGTACACCATTAAGGGGAACAATATATGCAATATGAAAGACTTAGAAGGAGTCCATTAAAATGGTACAAAATATTCCATGAAAATAATAACAAAAAGAGTATGGGGTGAGTGAGCACAATTAAAATCAGATAAAATAGACTTTAAATAAAAACTGTCATAAAACACAAACAATAACATTATATAATCATGAAATGGTCCATTAACCAGGAAAATAAAATAATTTTAAACATATATGCATCAAATATCAGAGGACCCAAATACACATTTTTTAAATAGTGACAGAACTAAAGGGAGAAATAGAAAGCAATGCAAAAATAATAGGCAATTTCTACACCCTACTTTAAAAAACTGATGAACATTTGTCAATTTTGGCTTTTATTGCCATTGCTTTTGTTGTTTTAGACATGAAGTCCTTGCCCATGCCTATGTCCTGAATGGTATTGCCTAGGTTTTCTTCTAGGGTTTCTATGGTTTTAGGTCTAACATTTAAGTCTTTAATCCATCTTGAATTAATTTTTATATAAGGTGTAAGGAAGGGATCCAGTTTCAGCTTTCTACATATGGCTAGCCAGTTTTCCCAGCACCATTTATTAAATAGGGAATCCTTTCCGCATTTCTTGTTTTTGTCAGGTTGTAAAAGATCAGATGGTTGTAGATGTGTGGTATTATTTCTGAGGGCTCTATTCTGTTCCATTGGTCTATATCTCTGTTTTGGTACCAGTACCATGATGTTTTGGTTACTGTAGCCTTGTAGTATAGTTTGAAGTCAGGTAGCATGATGCCTCCAGCTTTGTTTATTTTTGGCTTAGGATTGACTTGGCAATGCGGGCTCTTTAAAGTTCCATGTGAACTTTAAAGTAGTTTTTTCCAATTCTGTGAAGAAAGTCATTGGTAGCTTGATGGGGGTGGCATTGAATCTATAAATTACCTTGGGCAGTATGGCCATTTTCACGACATTGATTCTTCCTATCCATGAGCATGGAATGTTCTTCCATGGGATCTAATTAAACTAAAGGTCTTCTGCACAGCAAAAGAAACTACCATCAGAGTGAACAGGCAACCTACAGAATGGGAAAAAATTTTTGCAATCTACTCATCTGAAAAAGGGCTAATATCCAGAATATACAAAGAACTCAAACAGATTTACAAGAAAAAAACAAACAACCCCATCAAAAAGTGGGCGAAGGATATGAACAGACACTTCTCAAAAGAAGACATTTATGCAGCCAAAAGACACATGAAAAAATGCTCATCATCACTGGCCATCAGAGAAATGCAAATCAAAACCACAGTGAGACACCATCTCACACCAGTTATAATGGCGATCACTAAAAAGTCAGGAAACAACAGGTGCTGGAGAGGATGTGGAAAAACAGGAACACTTTTACACTGTTGGTGGGACTGTAAACTACTTCAACCATTGTAGAAGACAGTGTGGCAATTCCTCAAGGATCTAGAACTAGAAATACCATTTGACCCAGCCATCCCACTACTGGGTATATACCCAAAGGATTATAAATCATGCTGCTATAAAGACACATGCACACGTATGTTTATTGCGGCACTATTCACAATAACAAAGACTTGGAACCAACCCAAATATCCATCAATGATAGACCGGATTAAGAAAATGTGGCTCATATACACCATGGAATACTTTGCAGCCATAAAAAAGGATGAGTTCATGTCCTTTGTAGGGACATGGCTGAAGCTGGAAACCATCATTCTCAGCAAACTATTGCAAGGACAAGAAACCAAACACCACATGTTCTCACTCATAGGTGGGAACTGAACAATGAGAATACATGGACACAGGAAGAGGAACATCATACACCGGGGTGAGGGGAGTAGGGAGGAATAGCATTAGGAGATATACCTAATGTAAATGGCGATTTAATGGGTGCAGCACACCAACATGGCACATGTATACATATGTAACAAACCGGCACGTTGTGAACATGTACCCTAGAACTTAAAGTATAATACAAAATAAAAATAAAAAAATAAACTTGGAATTATAAAAAAACTGATGAACATATAGAGAAAAATTCAACAAGGAAACAGAGGACATGAATAAAATATAGACCAAATTAACCTTATGAACATATAGAGAATATTTTACCCAAAAGCAAGACAGTACACAGTCTTGTCAAGCATACACAGAATGTTTTACAGGATTAATTATTTGATAGGTCATAAAGCAAGTACTAACAAATTTTAAAAGTTTTAAATCATACTAAGTGTATCTTCCAATCAGAATCGAGTGAAACTATAAATCAACAGCAAAAAAAAATACTAAAAAAGCCACATACATGGAAATTAAATAACACACTCTCAAACAACCAATGGGACAAGGAAGAAATCAAAAGTGAAATTAGAAAATATTTTGGGGTAACTAATTAGAAACAGAACATACCAAAATACATGAGATACAGCAAAAGTAGTAAAAAGATAATAAGTTTTCAGTGGTAAATGCCAATACCACAAAAGAATTTTTAAAAACGAACAAGGTTTCTGAGGAATATGAGATTAAGTAAAGTGACCAAACTTACAAATTATTGGCATTCCTAAGAGAAAAAGAGAAAAATTAAACAACCTAGAAAACATATTTGAGGAAATAATTCAAGGAAATTTCCCTAATCTGGCCAGAGAGTTAGACATCCATATACAAGAAATCCAGAGAACCTTTGTCAGATACTCTACAAAAGGAACATAATCAAGGCACATGGTCACTGGACTATCCAAGTTCACTGCCAGTGAAAAATTATTAAAAGGAAGCTAGGGAAACATCTCAGATCACATACAAAGGGAGTCTCATCAGGCTAAAACTGGCCAACTCAGCAGAAACCTTACAGGCCAGGAAAAATTGGGGGCCTATTTTCAGCATTCTTAAAGAAAAGAAATTCCAACCAAAAATTTCATATCCTGCCAAACTAAGCTTCATAGGAGAAGGTGAAATAAAAATATTTTCCAGAAAAGCAAGTGCTAAAGGTTTTCATTGCCACAAGTCCAGTATTACAGGACATCCTTAAGGGAGTTCTAAACATGGAAACAAAATAACAATAACCACTACCACAAAAACAAACCTAGGTACATAGCCTGAAGACCCTGTAAAGCCACCACACAATAGAAACTGCAAAGCAGCAAGCTAACAACTTTATGATAGGATCAAAACCTCACATACCAATATTACCTTATATGTGAACAATCTGAATGCCCCACTTAAAAGCCACAGAGTGGCAAGGTGAATAAAAAAACAAAACCTATCTAATTGCTCTCTTCAAGAGACCCATCTCACAGGTAATGACACACATGGGCTGAAAGTAAAGCGTTGGAGAAAGATTTACCTTGCAAATGAAAAACAAAAAGAGCAGGAGTCACTATTCTCGTATCAGAGAAAACAGACTTTAAATCAGCTACAGTAAAAAAGGACAAAGAACGGCATTACATAACAAAAAAGGTTTCAATTGAATAAGAAGATTTAATTATCATAAATATATATGTACCCAATGTTGGAGAACCCAGATTCATAAAACAAGTACTTCTAGGCCTATGAAAAGAATTAGGTAGCCACATAATAATAATCAGGGACTTCAACACCCTGCTGACAGCATTAGACAGATTATTGAGGCTGAAACTACTAAAAATTTCTAGACTTAAACTTGAAACTTGACAAACTGGACCTAATAGACATGTACAGAATGTTCTGCTCCTCAACCACATTATACAGATTCTTATCATCTGCACATAGAACCTACTCCAAGATCAACCACATGCTTGGCAATAAATCAAGTCTCAGTAAATTAAAAAAATGAAAATCATACAAACCATCTGCTGGAACCACAGTGGAATAAAAATTGTGATCAATACTAAGAGGCTCAAAACCATACAATTACATGGAAATTAAACAACTTGCTCCTCAGTGACTTTTAGGCCAACAAATAACATCAAAGAAGAAATAAAAAATATTTGAAATAAATGAAAGCAGAGACATAACATACCAAAATCTGTGGGATGCAGAGAAGCAGTGTTAAGAGTAATGTTTATAGCACTAATGCCAACCTCAAAAAGTAGAAAGATGTCACATTAACAATCTAACATCAAACCTAGAAGAACTATAAAAACAAGAACAAACTCACCCCTAAGCTAGGGAAAAAAAAAGCAATAATTAAAATCAGAGCAGAAATGATTTCATCCATACAAAGCGTCAATGAAAATCCATACAAAGAGTCAATGAAACCAAAAGTTGTATTTTTCAAAGGATAAACAAGACTGATAGACCTCCAGCTAGATTAACAAAGAAAAAAGAGAAGAGTCAAATAAGAACAATCAGAAATGACAAAGGTGACATTACAACTGATCCTACAGAAATACAAAAGTTTCTCAGAGACTATTATGAACACCTCTATGAACACAAACTAGAAAAACTAGAGAAAATGAATAAATTTTGGAAATGTGCAATCTCCCAAGATTAAATCAGGAAGAAATTGAACCAATGAACAGATCAATATCAAGCCTGGAATTGAAATAGTAATAAAAATTCTACAGGCCAAAAAAAGCACCAGACAAGAAAGATTCACAGCCAAATTCTGTTAGACATACAAAGAAGAGCTGGTACTAATTCTACTGAAACTATTACCCAAAAATCAAGATGGAGGGACTCCTCCCTAACTCATTCTATGAAGCCATCATCACCCTGATACAAAAACCTGGCAAGACACAAACAACAACAACAAAAACTATAGGCCAATATCCCTGATGAACATAGATGTAAAAATCCTTAACAAAATATTAGCCAACCAAATTAAACCGCACATTAAAAAGTTAATTTGCTGTGACTAAGTAGGCTTCATTCTTGGGATGCAAGGTTGGTTTAATGTACACAAATCAATAAATGTGATTTAGCACATGAACAGAATTAAAAATGAAAACACATGATTATATCAATAGATGAGGAAAAACCTCAACATAATAAAAGCCATATATGAAAATCCTACAGTAACATCACCTTCAATGGTGCAAAACATACGGCTCTTCCTATAAGGTTAGGAATAAGACAAGGATGCCTTCTATCACCACTTCTATTTAACATAGTACTGGAAGTCCTAGAAAGAGAAATGTGGCAAGAAAAATAAATAAATAACCCAAATCAGAAAATAAGAATAAAATTATGTCTGTTCACAGATGACATAATCATATATGAAGAAATCCCTAATGATTCCACCAAAAAATTGTTAGAACTAATAAATTCAGCAAAGCTGCAGTATAAAAATAACATACAAAAATGAGTGGTGTTTATTTACACCAACTAAACAATTTGAAAAGAAAATTTATAATAGCATCAAGATTTATAAAATACTTTGGAATAAACTTAACCAAGGAGGTAAAAGACTTGTACACTGAAAACTACAAAAGTTTGCTAAAATAAATTATAGAAGACGCAAGTAAATGGAAAGACACCTCATATTCATAGACTGGAAAACCTAATCTTGTTAATATTTTCATATAACCCAAAGTGTTCTACAGATTGAATACTATCCCAATAAAAATCTCAACAGCATTTTTTTCTTCAGAAATAGAGAAAACAATCCTATAATCATATGCAACCAGAAAAGTCCCTGAAGAGTTAAAAAAAAAAAAAAATCTCGAGAAAGAACTAAGCCGAAGGCCTCAGTTTGTGGCTTCAAAACCTATTACAAAACTAAAGTAACCAAGTCAATGTGAAACTGGCATAAGGACAGAAATTTAGACCAATGAAACAGAATAGAGTTCCTAGAAATAAACACGTCTGTACAATCAAATGATCCCTGACAAAGGTGCCAAAACTACACGATGAGGAAATGATAGCCTCTTTAACAAATGGTGTTGGAAAAGCTAGATATCCACATGTAAAATAAAAGTGGACCTCTATCTTACAAACTACACAAAAGTCAAATGAAAATGGATTAAAGACTTAAGTGTAAGATCTGGAATTTTAAAATTCTTAGAAGAAAACGTAAGGGAAAATCTTTATAACATTGGTTATGTCAACAATTTATTAGATATAACACCAAAAACACAAGTAACTAAAGCAAAATAGACAAGTGGGAATAAATTAAACTTAAAAGGTTTCTGCACTGATAAGAAAACAGTCAACAGAGTGAAAAGCCAATGTATGGAATGCAAATATCTGATATAGGGGTTAATACCAAAATACATGAGGTGCTCCAATAACCCAACATAAAAACAAATGATCCAATTAAAAAATGGTCAAAGAATTTCAATAGACACTTCTCCGAAGAAGAAATACAAATGGCCAATCAGCATATAAAAAGATGCTCAGTACCACTAATCATGGAAATCTAAATAAAACCATAATAATTTATCACCTCATACCTTAACATGTATGGTCATTATAAAAATAAAATACAAAAGGGAAAAAAGTCATAAATAACAAGTGTTGATGAGGATGTGGAGAAATTAGAAGCCCATCAGTGGGAATTCATACCGGTCCAGCTGCTATCGAAAACATTATGGAGTTTCCCCAAAGAAATTAAAAAGTAGAGCTACCATATGATTCAGCCTTCATACTTTCAGATATTTATCCAAAAGAATTGAAATCAGAACCTTGAATGGAATATATCTGCACTTTAATGTTCATTGCAGCATTATTCACAGTAGCCAAGAGTTGAAAAGGATTTAAATGTCCATTGATGGATGAATGGATAAAGAAAATGACACACAGTGGTATATTATCTACTCTTTAAAAACTAAGAGAATCTTTTCATATGTCATCATAGGAATGAACACTGACATATTATACTACGTGAAATGAAATGGTCACAGAAATGCAAATATTTCATGACTCCATTTATGTAAGGTATCTAAAGTCTCAAACTCTTAGAAAAAGAAAGTGGGATTGTAGTTGCCTAGGGTTAGGGGGAGAGGGGAAATGAGAATATGCCGTTCAATGAGTATAGAGCTTTAGTCATGAAAGATGAAAAATATCTACAGACCTGCTATACAACCATGTTCATATAGTTAACAATTATGTACTGTACATGTAAACATTTTAAAAGATAGATTTCATGTTACATATTTTACCACAATTGGCAACGTTTTAAAATGTTCTAAATCCATGAAAACCTAAATATGGCTATATAATATTGTTTACAACTATGTAATAAGAGCCACTGTAAGACAGTATATAGACAGTGGTATGGGAAAGTAGAGAAGCAGCATTTAGATAACGTCCAGTGGCTGTCAGGATCACCAGGAAAGGACTTTCAGAACTGATATCAAAGCAAGGGATGGAAAATGAGTGGTATTTTTCACATAAGTATGCAGGTTTTGATGACATGATATTTCAGTCAAAAGGAAGAGCATATGACAAAGGTTAAGGGCAACTGAAAGCAAGTTTTACTTTAGGGTAGGGGGATATAGGTAGAGGAAAATGGGAAAGTGAGGAGGGGAAAATAAATAGGAAAACATTTTTAAAAGTCATAAACAGTCATTAACATGTAGGAACTAAAAAATTGTTAAGAGAGTTTGGTGTCTCAAGCATTCACTTAATAGACTGTAACTTTTTTATCTGTTTTATTCACACTCTATACCATATTCTCCACATTAGTACAGTGTGTTGCACACACTAGATGTTTAATAAATATGCATGGAAAGACTTAAAGCAATGAAAATATACAACCAGATTTACATTTTAGAAAGCTCTACTTATCTTTAGGGAAGGGATTATAGAAAGCTCTCAAAATATTAACCCTGAACAGTCTTCCAGCTTGCATCTGAAGAGCAACCATGGTGCCATATATACTCATGAAGCATACTATATATCTATGAAGGATAGTGTACATAGCTATGCCTCTAGCAAAATGTTTTAATGTCACATTTATACATTTTCTTTATTGAAAATTTTATTCTGAATTCTGAAATTTGTTTAACACTCTTTATATAAGTTCCTTAGTTAAGTTTGGGTCAAGAGAATAAACATATGCACCCTCAGCATATCCCTAGTGACTTCTTACATAAAAAGGTTAGGTGCTAATGGAACATCAACAAGGCAAAGTATATCAGTTAAATGAAATATCCTTTAGACTGGGAATAGAAGTTCCAATAAAGGCACAGACTGCATTAACAGTTGGATAGGCATTAACTATGACACGTTTGTCCTTGATGTTCAAAGATAACAATCACTGGGTGGGTTTCTCTCAACATGTGAACTTATTTGGAAAACCAAAAGTATGTGACCAGCTGCTCACAGGTGAAAGCTGTGTTGAGCCTTTCATTTTTTGGCAGCTCAATCTTTTTGACTCATGCCCTACATATGCCATTGCTTCAAAAAAATGTACAGAATCTCCTATTGTTTTACACCAATTCAATTGACTTGCTGCTGTTACCTACTACTGCACAGCTGTGTCACAGGGCTTGCATGCTGCCTCAGAAGCTACAACTATAAGCTTAATAGCAAACCACTTTTAAATGGAGCATCAATTATGGCTTTCAGAGAGACTATTTAAGACCCAGAACATACGTGACTGAAAGGGATAACAAATTTTCATCAGAGCCTTTTATTTTATAAATTAGAAAATATAGGTGTATAAAACTTAAACTCATTACCAAAATTATAAATTGGCTAGTAACACAAGTGAGGCTGGTGTCTTTTCCAATATATAACATTGTTATTAAAATAGTCCATTAACAACAGCAATCTTTCTTTCCTTTTCTATTTTCTTCATTCATGACTTCTTTTCTTCTTCTTTCCTTTCTTTCTTCTTTCCTTTTATTTAGGCAACCACTTAACTTGTTAATTCATTTACTTATAATTTACTTTCCAAGCACGTATTATGTTCTAGGTTCACTGCTAATTTTGAATGATATAAAAATATGTTATAATGACAGCTATAAATAAAGTTTCAGAAAGAAGACGGTGTTGATTCACTTTTTTCTGTTCCTCTTCTCTAGGTATAATTACATACTCTGCAAATTATGTAATAGACAACAATAAACGGATTCTGAAAGCTGAAAAGAAGGCAGACAGGCTAGACACTACAGGACTTGAGAAATAATAATGTGATGAGTTCCCTGAGATATCTTTTTATTTTCTCTATATTCCAAGTATTGGAAAGGCCTGCAGCAAGGAACAACCAATAGGCATAGAATAAAAAAAGGGTAAAACTTGCTCTTTTTGACCAAAGGTCTGGCAGAGTAGAAGCCAAGAGACCTAAGGGGATTGTTAAGCATTTTCCACAAAGGAGGATTCTGTTAATGATCAAATTCATCAACAGCAGTGAAACAGTGAATCCTCAGCCATCTCAGCCTTTGCTACATGACTCAAGCCAGGTGGGTGTTATGATCTCCCAGCAGCTGCAGAAGTAAAGCCCTAGTTATTCAATCCGCATTCTGGATCCAGGGCCCTGAGAGTGGCCCCATCTGCTCACAGCTACAACAATAGCAAACCCCTGTGTCTGCTTGGTTTCCACCCAGTAGTATAAAAAGACAAGATTCAGGGGCTTCTAGCTTCACCCCAGAAGACTGCCCAGTGATCCTGCAGATAGCACCAGTTGGGGGGATTCAGCAGGAGGAGCTCCAGCAGCATGAGAAAATAGAGCAGCCAAGAATAACATTGAAAGGGTTCGGGAACTAAACTTTATGAGAATGAAAGCTCACAGAAGTAGAATGGAACTGACACATTAAACTTAAACTAACTTCCTGATAAAACAGAAGACTTAGATAGAAAAAAAGAATTACCTAACAGAATAACCAAAATGTCCAGGATACAATAAAACATCACTCATTATACTAAGAAGCAGGAGAACTAAAATTTAGTGAGAAAAGATAAGGAATGCCAATATGGAGATGAATTGGAGTCATTTGGGGGAGAATTTTAAAACAACTATCATAAAACTGCTTTAGAAATCTCATGGAATTTAGAAGACCTCAGCAAAGATACAAGTCATACAAAATAACTAAATGGAATTATGTAGCTCAAAATTCCATCACCGATAATATATAGACACCAACAAACCTCACTTATGTAAACTGATATATAACAAATACATACGTATAATATACTTTAAATGTTAAAATGTCTAAACATGCACATTAACAGACAAGATTTGACAGAGGTTTAAAAAAACCATAACCAACTATATGCTCTTTTTAAGAAACTCAAAAATAGCAACACATACATTAAAAGAAAAATTATGCAAAAAGAATATATTCTGCATACATTAATAAAAATTGCAGTAGTGCCTACATTAGCATTATAAAGTTAGGCCTTGGAACAAAAAAATTACTAGGAAAAAATATGGGCATTACATTATAATTAAAAATTTAAAAACCCATCAAGAACATATAGCAATATTATATGTGTATGAACCAAACTCCAGGGCTTCAACCTATGTGACAAAAATACAGATAGAACTGAAACGAGAAATAGACAAATCCACAAATATAGTGGGAAGTTTCCCCATTTTATTTTCAACAATTGGTAGAATGACATGACACAAAAGAATATGGATGATAGAATATCATCAACCAATAGTTTCGATTTGGCACTTATAAAACATGCCAGGAAATATTAATAATAAAGATACAAACATAAATCACTGTTATTGAAAACACAGAACATTTATAGAGGAGAAACAATAAACCCAAAGTTATTTCTGAAAAAGAAAGTCTACAAATGAATACAACTCAAGCTGGACTAATTAAGAGAAAAAGACAGAGAGAGGAAAGAAAGGAGAAAGAGAGAGAGAGAGACAGACAAAGAGACTAACAGAAATAAGAGAGGATAAATTACTACAGATCCTCAAGAAATTGAAGGCTGGGTGCGGTGGCTCATGTCTGTAATCCCAGCACTTTGGGAGGCTGAGGCGGGCGGATCACCTGAGGTCAGGACTTCGAGACCAGCCTGACCAACATGGAGAAACCCTATCTCTAATAAAAATACAAAATTAGCCGGGCATGGTGGTGCATGCCTGTAATCCCAACTACTCGGGAGGCTAAGGAAGGAGAATCGCTTGAAGCTGGAGGCAGAGGTTGCAGTGAGCCCAGATGGTGCCATTGTACTCCACCTTGGGCAATAAGTGCTAACACCGTCTCAAAAAATAAATAAGAAAAGAAATGGAGAGATTATAATTTAACACTTGTGAACACTTTATTCTAATAATTTTGACAATTAAAATAAAGAAAATCCTTGAAGGATATGAATTATTAAAACTAAAGAGAAATGAAATATAAATAAATCTGTACAACTTTATCTACAACATGTTGCAGACAAAAGGCAAAGAACATACTTATAATTTGAGCGTTATCTATGTTCATAAATTAGATGATTCAAAACTGTTAAGGTGACCATTCTCGCCACCTTTATAGATTTAATGCAAACTCAAACCAAAACTAAGGAAATCTGTTGTAAAATGTGATGTTAATTATAAACTTTAAATGGAAATGTAAAGGACAAAAAAAGCCAAAACTATTTTGAAAATGAACAAAGCTAGAGGATATAAACTAACCCATTACAAGGATTAATATAAAAATAGAGTAATTAGGACTCTAGTATTAGCATAAGAATAGACACATGCACAAATGAAACACAAAAGAAACTCCAAAAATAGATCTACTTAGATATGGTCAATCTTATTTTTGACTAAAATGTCAAACTAATTCAAAAGTGAAATATAATTATTTCAAAAAATGGTGCTGAAACAATTGTATAGTAATATTTAAAATAAGCCTCAACATCTATCTCATGCTACATCAAAAATTTACTTGATATTGATCATAAATATAAATATTTAAGTGGAAAACATAAACTTTCTGCCAGAAATATTTAAGAAAAATGTTTGTGGCCTTGGCTTAGACAACTATTTCTAAAATGATATGTATAAAAGTAAAAATCATAAAATGTATATTTGATATAATGGACTACAACTACTTTTTAAAAATTTTCTTTTGGTAAGATATCATTAAGAAAATTAAAATATTTGTGACAAAGACAAAATTTTTGCAAAATATACCTCTGACAACGGTCTTGTGTCCAGAATACATAAAAAATACTTATAAGTTTTATAATACTTATAATAGAAAGTCAAACCCCATTTTAAAAAATGGGCAAAAGATCTGATCAGACATTTCACAAAGAGGGGTTTACTTATGTACTTCAGATATCTTTAATAGTCCTTAAATTCTCATGCTAAGACTGTTCCCTAAGGAAGGCCTATATTCAGATAGATGACCTACTAGCTCCTAGGAATACACAAATCATTAATACAATTAAGAAAAAATGCTTAATTTCAATAGAAACCCAGGCAAATATAATTTTAAAAGTATAATACTTGGAAGAATTTTAACAAGTAGAGGATTTTGTAATGCATCTTTGATTTAAAATCTTAACATAGGGAAGAAATATCTTTGTTTGTCTCAATAAAAATTCATACCTAGATATTTAAAATCACCAAAAGAACTGAGAAAAATGTCAGTATATCACTACTTTTGAATGACACAGCACATTGTGACAATGAAATAATGAAAACCAATACTGTAATCACCATGATTTAAAAAATTTAATTACCTGGAAAACAAATTGTTCAAATTATATTGGTTTTGGACATAGGGTATTAATATGATACAGAGAGATATGAATGGGGGAAAAGGCAACAAATGATTTGTTTTTTAATGTATTTTCTTCAACGGAAATACAAAGTTACCTGAGGATTTACGACATTTCCTCATAAACATTTTTAAACAAAAAATTTCAAATGGATTAGTAACCTCTATAGCAACATTACAATATTACAGAATAGATGGATTTGAGTAAAATGGGGAATAATCCCCAGATTGTCCTTGTTCTTTTAGTTACTTTTCCAAACCACTCACTTTGTGCACCTATGAAATACTGGCTGTCCTGGGGTGGATCTTGATAGCTATTGAGTGGCAACCCAAATCAACTTTGTGTTTAAACTGAGCTATGAATAATAGATAACTCTTCTTAAATGGAAAGAGTTTATATAGATAGGGTGAAATGATGTCCCTTGAAAATTAGGATGAGGCAATAGAAACAACCCAAACATGATTGTAAGTGCGACAAATATGTAAAAATAAGTTTGCGACTTTAATCCCTTTAGCTTTCAGGCACTTCTCATGGTGTTTTGGTTTATTACTGACATAAAATGAAAAGAAAGAAGCTGTAGGGCTAAATCGTGATTAGAAAAAAATCCAAAAGGTTTCAAGTGCATTTGCTCCTAGTTGAGAAACCCTTTCTCATGAGGGCATTGCAATTTAGTTCTGATGGTCTGTGTCCAAACTGCATGGATGCTGAGCATTGTTAGAGAAATGACAGACTAAAATAGGGAATTGAACAGTGTGTAAGTCAGAATCTATCCATCTGGAACTAGCAAGCAAAGGCAAGAATTACCTTATGATCTGCAATTTAAATGCTAAACATGAAGATCTCTCCTAAAACAAAATGCAGTATCTTGATCTGAAAATTCCGGCAAGTACAGCAGTAGCTAACATCATCGGTGACTCTCAGAATCATAGTTCATGGAAGAGTAGTACTAGCTTTCTAAGTTAAATTTTAAGCTTCTAGAATGGTATTTCTTAATTATTTTACTGAAACTCTAAATTAGAGTTTTAAGTTTGCTGATGAATCTGACATTGAAAAATGAATAATAGGAAACTGTGAAAGGTAAAGATTGTAAATTATAGTAAAAATGCAATTGAAAGAGATAAGTCTAATCTTGTTGGAAAACTAGTCTAATCCTTGTTGTATACTTTTTAGCATTTATTAAGTTCTTACATGAAAACATATTCCCAAATCATTTCTGTAGTTATTAATGTTCTGGATTTATGTAAATATGACTTCCAAAAGAAACTGATGAAAACAGAAACAAAAATGTTAATAATGTCCACTATGTGTCAAACAAGTTGAGGCATTTTTAAAAATTAACTTTTATGGTTTCTCGTAAGAAATATTCTAGGCTGGGTGCGGTGGCTGACACCTGTAATCCCAGCAGTTTGGGAGGCCAAGGCGGGTGGATTACCTGAGGTCAGGACTTTAAGACCAGCCTGGCCAACATGGCAAAACCCCTTCTCTATTAAAAATACAAAAATTTGCCAAGTGTGATGACAGGTGCCTGTAATCCCAATTACTTGGGAGGCTGAGGCAGGAAAATTGCTTGAACCTGGGAGGCAGAGGTTGTAGTGAGCCGAGATTGCACGATTGCATTCCAGCCTGGATGACAAGAGTGAAACTTCGTCTCAAAAAAAAAAAAAATTCTCATAATTACAATCATGATGCAATAAATAAAATTGAATTACTAAGTAAATTATCCAAGGTTACAAATGTACTAGGTAATTGAACTTCAATCTCTTATTCCAAAGACCCTGCTCTTTGCATTTTGCCATGAATTGTGCTATAATAAATCTGACAATAAGCATCTTCAGGGAACAATGCATTTCCTCTGATTTAAAAAAAAAAAAAAAAAAAAGCCTCTCTTAGCTAAGGTTGGCCTTTGGTCATTCTCTGTCCCAGCCAAATTTCCTACAAAACACATTTAGAAAATATGGTTGAAGATAGAAAATGTTGAAAACACTGATAATTGGAGTGATGTGAGGAAGGGTATTTCAAAGACTATTTGTACTACTCTCGGGTCTAACTCCAACTGGCACATGTAATACAGCAGACTGATGTGACACAGATTTGTCTCAGATTTAGATTTGCCACTTTCCAGCTCTGTGGCTTTAGTAAGTTAGCTTTTGTGAGCTTCTGTTTCCTTTCTATTGATTTGGAATAATAAGCCAATTGGGAGAGTTTCTTTATGGCAACTAAATGAGAAAATATGCATTTTTGAAAGCCTAATATAATGCCTTTGGACTGATACATGTGAATTTTGGTCATGCAATCAATAAGATGCCAGGTTAAAGGGGAAATTGGTCCTTTTCTGAAGTTCAAAATATGCATCTCAATTTTGTACTTGCTGTTGCCTTTTTCAAAGCACTATGATAATTAGTACTTGAAATCTGTAGAACAGAGAGTTTAGTTTACATTTTTATGAAGAAAAAAATCACCTAATTGTTTCATAGCAAAATATCTAGTTTTGTCAATATAATCTTATTGAGAATAAAGTATTTACACTTTGTGCCTACTTCCTTTTAAACAAGGTGAGGTTATTGTGTCAAACTGTTATTTGAGTATGCATTTTTTTCTAGAAGTCGAACTTTTCCATGTGTATATGTGTATCTTAGATATTTACCTGGATAAAGAACTTAACAACCTAACATTCAATCTCACCAATTCCAGACAATTCCTGGGGACACATGGGGTAACGCTGGTTCAGTGTCTTATGCAGTAAGGATGTTAAATAGTCTCTGAAAATTATTGGCAGCCAAGCTTTTAAATACCACATAGAAGTGAAAACGCAAATTAAAAATTTTAAAAACAAAGAAAAAGAACCGTAACTTATATCTTCCAGTCTAATTAAATTTAATCTCTACAAAAGAGTCTCAATAGGCCTTTTAGCAGAAATTGACAAGTCCTTCCTATAATGTATATGAAAACACAAATTACTCAGAATAACCAAGATATTTTTGTCAATGGAAAAGTTGGAAAACTCACATTTCCCAATTTCTTAATGTAATATAAAGGAGCAATAATCAAAACAATGTGGTGCTGCCTAAAGAACAGGAATACTGATCAGTGAAACAAAGTTGAGACTAGAAAACAAAATACATTTATGGCCAATTGATTTTTTTAAATTTTATTTTTATTGATACATAATTGTACATATTTATGGGATTGTGATATTCTGATACATGTGTAATAATCAAATCAGAATACTTAGGATATTCATCACCTATGACATTTGACATTTCTTTGTGTTGGGAACAAATGTCTAGAAGAGAAGATCTGAAATTGCAATAAATTATATGGCCCATTGATTTTTGAAAAACGGGGTCAAGGCAATTAAGTGAGGAAAGAATAGTCTTTCAACAAGTGTGCTGCAGGAATTGAATATCCACATACAGAATGATGAATTTAGGCTTTTACCTTATACCATACACAAATAGTAGCTGAACCTGGCTCAAAGATATTAAATGTCGGAGCTAAAAACTAAAAAAAAAAAAAAAAAAAAAAAAAAATTGAGAAGAAAATACAAAAAAAGCATTCCAGAACTTAAGTTTGGCAAAATGTTAATAGCCTAAAAGACATTGAAAACAATGAAAAAACAAGTCACAGACTGGAAAAAACATTTTGCAAATTATGTATCTGATTAAAAAATACTTCTATTTAGAGTAGAAATACCTCTTACAACTCAATATTAAGAAAGCAACCTCCCTTTTGCAAAATGGGCAAAGTATCTGAATGGACATTTCATTCAAGAGGATAGGCAGATGATAATAAACATATGAAAATATGGCCAATATAATTAGTCAGGGAGGAAATGCACAATAAAACCACAATGAGATACCACCTTAGACCCACTAGAACGTTTACAATGAAAATTACTGAACATACCACGTAAAGATGTGAACAAATTGAAACCCTCATATATAGTAGGTGGGAATGTAAAATGGTAGCACCACTTTAGAAAATACCTTGGCACTTCCTTGAAAAGTCAAAACATATATTTATCTTGTGATTCAGCTATTCCATTTCTAGTTATCTACTCAAGGGAAATGTCAACATGTGTTCACTTTTTTTTTTTTTCTTTTTCAGACAGGCACTTGCTCTGTCACCCAGGCTGGAGGGCAGTGCACTGTTGCAGGAATCAGAAGGACTAGAGAGACTACGGGGTGAATACAGGAGGATCTTTAGTGAGTGCACTCAGACCTAGCATACTAAAAACTGGACTAAGAACAAAGACAAGTCTTGGCTTTTATACACACTTTAAAAAGGGGGTTGGCTAGTTTGAAGCTAGCTTACAGTGCTGTGAAGCGTAGTGGCATGAAAGAAGTGTACAGAAGCAGAACAAAGACAGTTAATCAAATTGTGTCAGGTGCATAACTCAGGATTACATATGACATCTCGCTATGTGGCCTAGATGGCTGTTATCTAGTTTTTACTCAAGTCCCTTGTACAGGCTTATCTCATAACTTTCGCTATGGCGCCTAGGTGGCTGTAGTTCAGGCCTGCTCAGGCTTCCTATGGCCTTCTCTGCCACTTACATAAAATAGAATACTTGAAGTTACTAGTTACAGAGAATAGGAATACATAAACTCATAGATTTACTCATATCATTAGAGAAAGGAAAATTTGTTTTTCTTCTCCTAATGTTAAGGGAGTGCTGGGAGAGTCTCCAAAGCACATTCCTTTGAGCTCTGGCTTCTTAGATAATGTTATCAGGACTTTTGCGTAGGTCTAGCTTTTGCCTGTCACTGCCTTGCAGATGAGTCAGCTTAATACAGAAAACTTATTCTTTCTCTTTTTCATTTTCCTTTCTTTCTTTAATTTCCACCTCACACAATCGGGGTCACTGCAACCTTGAATTTCTGGGCTCAAGCAAACCTCCTGCATCAGCCTCCCAAGTAGCTTGGACTACAGGTGCATGCCAGCAAACACAGCTAAGTGTTGTATTTTTTGTAAAGACAGTGTCTTGCTATGTTGCTCAGGCTTGTCTTGAACTACTGGCCTCAAGTGATCCTCTGGTCTCAGCCTCCCAAAGATCTGGGATTACAGTCATCAGTCACTGCTCCTAGCCCACACAAAAACTTTTAAGGGAAAGTTCATAGCAGCATTATTTATAAATGTCAATAACTAGAACAATACAATTTCTATCAACTGGTGAACAAGTAAACTGTATCTGGTATACCCACATAATGGAATATATTCATCAATAGACAGGAACAAATTATTGATGTATACTACAACATAGATGATCCTCAGAAACACTGTGCGAAGGGAAAGAAGAAAGATGCAAAAACCTAAATATCGTGTACTTCCTGAATGTGCAGAAGAGGCTAGTCTACAGAGACAAAAATTGTAACATTGTTTTTCTGGACCTGGGAGTAGGAACTGAAGTTCACTGCAAAGAGACAAAATGGATCTCTCCAGGGTTAATGAAATGTCTTAAAACTGATTGCAAAATTCTATCAATGTAATAAATCACTGAATTTTATACTTATAATTAATACATTCTAGGCATGTAATTTCTACTTTTATAAAACTGTTTTAAAATGTAGGTAAAACTTATTCCCAAAGCAACACTGAAAACACACAATAAAATCAGAAGAAATATTCATTGGTTTATTAAAGCAAAAGTATTTTGCTCATCAAGAGTCTGAGCCCCTAATGAACACTTTAATTGTTTTATTGTCTGCCATATAAGTTTACTGTGTAGAGGTTTTGATCGAATATACAACTTGCTTTAATGCATTCAAACACCCAAAACAAAGAAATATTCATCAAGTTTGTTTTGTTTGTTTTTTTAGACGGAGTCTTGCTCTGTCGCCCAGGCTGGAGTGCAGTGGTGCGATCTCCGCTCACTGCAAGTTCTGCCCCCTGGGTTCATGCCCTTCTCCTGCCTCAGCCTCCCAGGTAGCTGGGACTACAGGCGCCTGCCACCACGTCTGGCTAATTGTTTTGTATTTTTAGTAGAGATGGGGTTTCACCGTGTTCACCAGAATGGTCTCAATCTCCTGACCTCGTGATCCGCCCACCTCGGCCTCCCAAAGTGCTGGGATTACAGGCGTGAGCCACTGCACCCAGCCCCAGTTTGTTTTTTAAATAAAATTTTTATCATTTTGTAATGCTAGTTATGGAAAAATGTTTTTTAAAAGTTACTATTACCAAAAGTATCTTTTTAAAAAAAATTCAGCAGGTTAAATTATGTAAGTTTTAAGACTGCTTGGAGAATATTTAAGAAATATTGGAAAAACATCCATCAGTTAATGGATGTGATATAAATGTAGAAATATTCCTACATTTAGGAAGGTAGAAGAAATATTTTTGACAATTGTAACACATAGTACATGGAATATTTTACTGTATATATTTAAGGTGTACAACAAGTTTTGCTATACATATACAAAGTGAACTGATTTCTACAGGTGCATTTTTAGGCATCCTTTGAAATCATTATAGCACATGTGCTTTATTTAAGCCATTATTGCTTAAGCCTCTAAGTTAATAAATATCACAATAAAATTACATTTTAGCTACCGGTGAATAAAAGTGACACAGAAAGCAAACAATCAGAGATTCTATTGAGAAAAAAGGCTAGTGTTAAAATTCAAGGAGAAAATTAAGTGAATTTCAAGATATTACTTTTTAGATAATGTTTACAATGTAAGATATTCACATACATGAGAAAATATATGTAGAGACAGGTACAGAGAGGGAAAGACAGGGACCATATGTATATATTAAGATACATACATATTTATATATAATCTTTTTTATTTATTGGGTTTCCATGACCCATTTAGATGATCTTGCCTCAAGGAAGTGATGATCTGGAAATATAGGTTCAATTCCTAAAACAATGCTGAGAGAGATAAACACAGCAAACAGAAGTTTCTATGCAATAGAAATAGATTCCAAAAGTATGATGTCAGTTTTGATGTTTTATTAAGTACTGGAGGTGTTCTGCCTATAGACAAATGCAAAGATAAGTTTTATCTGCTTACTTATATTTGCTTAATGCTCTATAAATCTCACATGAATTTGCCTCCATGCTCACTTCATATATTCTAATAATATAGTTGATATTCTATTTAAGTGTTAATGCAACTACTATTTTCAGAGCCATTTCATATGTGCTAAACAATAAAAGCTGCGTATTGGACAACACAGAAAAAAGTAAGACATAGACTTATACCTTTTAATTGATCTACAGTTATTTTCACTAGAATTTTAGGCCAGATCTCTCCCAATCAGAGCCAAGTAGAGGGGGAAATAGAGTTGGCAAATTTATGCAGTATGATGTTTAAAGTCCTATTTTCCAACGTCACCTTGTAGCATGTCATTTTGACTTGCAATTTGTTGTTTTATCCTTGAACGGTTTGGTCTTCAGTTTAATCAAACACTATTTAAATTTGGATGTTAACAGTGATGTCATTGATACATTTGGAAAATATCTTATTCAAAAGGCAGTATCTTCATAGGAATTTGTGATAAATAGATCAAAGGTATCTAAACTCTCACACATAAAGCCAATCCCTGCCACTTTAATCAAAATGTGCATTTTAGCAAGTGTCATTTATTATCTCTACTGTAACATAAATGTAGAATATGTAGACAGTGTTAAAACATAGACACATCAAGCAGAATGAACTCTTACTAGTCAAGCAAGAAGATTCTTTATGGAATGCATAGGAAAAGCATTTTTCATTAAATTGGAAGTATGCATACAATACAAATTGCAATGGAGAGCGTTAAAACATTGGCTAATGAAAAATTGCTGAAAATTCTCCTAAGAATTTTCTGTATTACGCATCTCAATTTATTTCCTTTAATGCTTCTGTCACTGTAGGTACTTCTCTGTTACTAGAAACTCATCTTTTTTCTACAAATCCACAATATGTCAGTTACTCAACTATATTGATTCCAGCATTCTTTTCTTGTTCATTCTATAGTCAGCATACGGAATGCCATTGACCTCCACAGTTTCAATTGCCTACATATTTATGTTGATCAAATATATATTTCCAGTTCTCACATTTTTCCAAGCCCTAAACCTCCTTATCCATTCAAGACACATTCAAATGTCTTTTAAAAATATATACATGAATAGCTAAAATGCCTCTAATAGGTAGGTCAACAAAATCAAGTTGAAAATCTTCCTCTGTCATTTGTCAAATAGAATTATCTTCCAGGAATCACTATTTAAATAAATTGTATCACAGTTCATCCAGTTGCACCATCAGAAACTGAAGTAACATATTTTATACATCGTTTAGTAACTCCAACATATCCAACAAATGATAAAACCTATGAAGTATTTCACCTAAATATATCGAGCTATTTGTATCTTTAGTGCCAAGTTACTTATAGAATCCAAAAATGTTTTCACCTTTTACTAAGCCTACTGGAATAATCACATTTTTCAACCTTTTATTTTTCCACCCATAATTGAGGCTTAACTTTGCAATACTAAAATCTGACTTGCCATCTAATTATGAAGAAACTTTCAATAGATTTCTACTATGTTTATATAAAACCAATATGCTTAAAATGACCTACTGCAGCCTTGCATGAATTGTCCCTTATGTGCATAGAACAAATTATTAGTATCAACTATTAACAAAAAATAGCATTTATCCTCAATAAGCTTATTAGAAAAGAAGAGATATCACTCAAATAATTCTACAAGCAGATGTAAAATGCAACTGTGACTAGATAAAAAGTCTGTAGAGCTTTGTGAGCCTATAGTAAGGAGGCCTGATATAGGCATATAGGTGAAGGAAGGTTTGATCATGTCTGAAAAATCTGAACAATAATCTAGATCATGTCTGAAAAATTTGAGCAGAAATCTAAAGATGTTAGGAGTTAATTAAGTCAAAGAAAAAGACTGCAACATTAGCATACAACATCACATTCAATGCATGTAGGAGGCTATTTAGATCGTTTACAAACAAAAAAACTATATATTTTGCATTGTACTATTCATTTATAATTGTTCAGGCTAATTTTATGACCCATAATATGGACTTGACTATTGGGTATACACTGGGAAAGCATGACTATTCTGCTGTTAGGTTCAGTGTTCTATAAATTATTGTAAGTGGCTTATTGAAATCTCAACAATGACTATGGATTTATCTATTTCTCCTTGCAGTTCAGTTTTTGATTCATGTATTTTGATGATCTCATATTAGGTGTCCAAAAACATTTATGATTAAGTTCACATGATTAATTGACCCCTTTATCATGATAATATCACTTTCTTATTTCTGGTGACAGCCTTTTGCCCAAATATATATATGTATATCTATATATCTATATATATATAGATATATATATATAGATATACATATATATGTGTGTGTGTGTGTGTGTGTGTGTGTGTGTGTGTGTGTGTGTGTATATATATGCCCTAAAATAGCCACTTCAGCTTTCATCTGATTAATATTAGCATGGTATTTTTCCATCCTTTTATTTCTTTATATTTAGTGTACTTAACGTAATTTTGCTGTGGTATCCAATCTAATAATCTCTCCCTTTTAATGGTATATTTAAGGTATTTACATTTAACGGTGATAACACATATGCTTAGGCTTATACCTATCATTTTGCTATTTGTTTTTTATTCTCTTCATTTTTTTCTTTGTTCGTCTTCACTTTTTCTGCCTTCTTTTGGATTAGTTGTTTATATTTTATCTCCTTTATTGATTTGTTACCTACAATTCTTTGTTTTAGAAGTTTATAATAGTTTTCTATTGCTATGTAACAAATTATCACAATTTAGAATCTTAAAAAAACACATTTATTATCTCACAGTTTCTACAAGTCAAGATTTTAAGACAGTTTCACTGGGTCAAGGTTTTGCATTCTGCTCAAGGTCTCACAAGTTTTCAATCACGATGTTAACTGAGTAGCGTTATTTTTTATTTGATTATTTGTAGAAACTTAATCCCCTCAGGGCTGTTTGACTGAGGGCCCCATCTATTCATTGGCTATCAGCTCAGGTCTATTTACAGGTCCTAAAGGCCACTCAGAGTTCCTTGCCATGTGATAACTACCACAGGCAACTTACAACATGGTTGTATGCTTCTTCCAGGCCAGAAGGAGAATCCCTCTTTTTTTTGTGCAGTCTGCTAAGCTTCTGCTATACATGGAAATGGAGGCATGAGAGTGGCATGCTATCCCCTCTGCCTAACAAGCAACCTAATCAATAGAATGACATCCCATCACCTTTATTGTATTCTATTGGTCACAATTTCTATCTGCACTAGAAAGAAAGAAATCACACAAGGAAATGACTCACTGGTAGCCCTTCTAAAGTGTGTTGGCACTATTGCTTCAGAGAGTCTAGAACACAGTTTTAACTCATCAGTTCACCTTCAACTGATAACAAAACTTCAGAGAAACTATACAAGCATATAAATTTACTTTTATTTCTTCTCTCCCACACTTTGTGCTACATTTTACTTTTACATATGTTATAAAACCCACATCACAATTTTTTTTCCTTTAAAGATAGGGTCTCACTTTGTTACCCAGGCTGAAGTGCAATGGCATGACCAACTCATCACAGCTTTGAACTGGGCTCAAGTGATCTTCCCACCTCAGACTCCTAAGTAGCCAGGACCACATTTCACTCCTTTGTATACATTCAGATTTGAAGCTAATGCCATTTTCATTCTGCCTGAAGAACTTCTTGTTTCATGTGGGATCTTATGCTGAAAATTTCCTTCCATTTTTGTGTGTTTAAGAATGTCTTTAGTTAGCCTTCTTTTTTATTTTTATTTATTTTTTGAGACAGTCTTGCTCTGTCACCCAGGCTGGAGTGCAGTGGCACGATCTTGGCTCACTGCAACCTCCACCTCCCAGGCTCATGCCATTCTCCCGCCTCAGCCTCCCGAGTAGCTGGGACTACAGGTGCCCGCCACCACGCCTGGCTAATTTTTGTATTTCTAGTGGAGACGGGGGATTTCACTGTGTTAGCCAGGATGGTCTTGATCTCCTGACCTCGTGATCTGCCCACCTCGGCCTTCCAAAGTGCTGGGATTATAGGTGTGAGCCACTGCATCCAGCCTAGTTAGTCTTCATTTTTGAAAGCTGTTTGCTGGAAACAGAAATCAAGGTTGACTTTTTTTTATTCTTACAGTACTTGAAAGATGTTACTCTACTGTCTTGCTTGCATTGTTCCAAGAAGAAATTTCCCGTAATCCTTATCTTTGTTTCTATGTAACATGTGCCCCAACACCCCTTATTACTTTAGAATTTTTTATCAATGGTTTTGAGTTATGCAATTATGGTATAACTTGATGTCATTTTCTTAATATTTCTTGTGTTTGAGATTTGTGAAGCTTCTTGAATATATGAATTTATATTTTTCATCACATTTCAAATTTTTTGGTCTTTATTACTTGTTTTCTTGTCCTCTCCCCTTGCCTCTCTGAGACTCCACTTTCAAGTATATTATTAGGCTGTTAGAAGTTGTCTCACAGCTCACCATTGATTTGTTCATGTTACTTTATTTTCATTTTTTAATGTTGTGATTGATTTTGGGTAGTTTCTCTAGAGCTGTGTTTCACTTTCATTCTGCAATGTGTAACATACTATATTAATACCATCTAATTCCATCTATCACATTGTAGTGTTCACCTCTACAAGTTTGATTTAGGTCTTTATTACAAGCTTTGTGTCTTTGATTAACTTTTTTAACAGCTTTTATGACAGCAGTAAAGTGTAAATTTAGCGGTTTTCTGTATAGAATTGTACAACCTTCACCATAACCGAAGTGTAGAACATTTTATTTATCCCTTTAAAAGAAACACTATATCCATTTGCAGTCCCTCCCCATACTCTCTCAACCTCTCATTCCCACCAATCCCCAGCCCTGGACAAGCACTATATAAATTTACTTTCTGTTGCTATAGATTTGTCAAATCTAGACATTTCACATAAATGAAATAATATATTATGTGGTCTTTTGTAATTAGCTTCTTTCACTTAGTATATTTTCAAGGTTCATATTTTAGCATGTAGTAACCATTATTTAGCATGTAATAAAGTTCTCTTTACTACTGATTAATACTTCATTGAATGAAAGTATGCATTTTCACTCACCAGCTAATGGGCCTTTGGGTTGTTTTTACCTTTCAGCTTTTGTGAATAATGCTGCTATAGAGGTTTGTGTACTTTTGTGTCCCCATGTTTTTATTTGTCTTGGATATATAACTAGGAATGAAATTGTGACTCATATGGTAACCCTACGTTCAAAGCCTATGCACCAGTTTACATTTCCATCAACATGAGAATTCCACTTTCTTTACATCCTTAGCACCACTTACCTTTTTCATTATAGTTCTGATATCTTTTTGAAGATATGGGATATAGTTACAATAACTGTTTTAATGTCCTTGCCTGTTGATTCTAACATTACTTCAGTTCTGATCAGCAATTGATTTTTCTCCTCATTATGTGTTTTTTTTTTTCTTTTTGCAAGCTTGGTAATTTTTCTTTGTATGACATATGTAAATTGCACCTTTGGTGAACATTTTTCTATTTCTATAAATACTGCTGAAGTTTGGTCTTGTCATCTGTCATGGTTTGTTAAGTTTGATCCATTTGGGTCTTACTTTTAAGAGTTAGATGGCACTACAGCACTGATCAGCTAGGACTAATTACTGCCTACTAAATAATTAGTAAACAACTATCAAATCAAGACTTTTTTGTGTGTACTCTGTCCAGTGTCCTACGGACTATGAAGTTTTCCAGCCTGGTTAGTGGAAATAGAGACTATTTCTGACCCTCTGTAATGTCCATATATATATATTTATATATATATATATATGTATTTTTTTTTTTTTGTGAGACGGAGTCTCGCACTGTCACCAGGGCTGTAGTGCTGTGGCGCAATTTCGGCTAACTGCAACCTCAGCCTCCCTGGTTCAAGCAATTCTCCTGCCTCAGCCTCCCGAATAGCTGGGATTACAAGCGCCCACCACCACGCCCAACTAATTTTTTTTGTACTTTTAGTAGAGACGGGGGTTTCACCATGTTGGCCAGGCTGGTCTCAAACTCCTGACCTCGTAATTCACCTGCCTCAGACTCACAAAGTGCTGGGATTACAGACGTGAGCCACCGCGACCGGCCATGTCCTGGTATCTTTAAAAATCTTTTAGCTAGTTTCTTGAGACACATACTGCTCAGTACTCAGCTGAATGAATACCAAGTTCTCTCTCAGCAGTTATCTTTCTCCTGTACTCTGCAAAGAACATTACCTACCTTGGTCTCCCCAGAATATCTGTTCTATTTTGCCAACGCAGGCAATCGGCTGGGCTCTGCTTGAGTTCACTCTCCTGCATCGCATCTATAAAATACTAATATCTTTGAAAGCAGCTCGCTTTTTGAGCGCAGATCATTTGCTTCCTGTATCTCCCGGATCACTATTCTTTACTGATTCCCAGCGTCTTAGAAACAGCCCCACTGTTTTTCGGGGTTTTGTTTTTTTTTTTCTACAGCAGTAGTGAATATTTTAAATAAAGTGTCAATGCTGTAAGTTTCCCTTAAAACGCAAACTCAAGGAAATGCTTTCCCTTTTTCGAGTAGAGAAAGAACTTCCACAGGCGCGCGGTCGAGCTCAAGCCCACTTATAGTCTCTGGCACCGCGTAAGGACTAGCGCGCAGGCGCAGAGCCCGTGCGCGCCTAGCCATAACCGCGCTTGCGCCAAGCAGCGAGGCCCGCCAACGAGCGAATCCGCGCCTGCCAATTAGAGCGCACAATGGTCCTTGATGCCCGCCCACTAACCTCTGCAGCCAATCGCCTGCCCCGGCGCGAAGTCGACTGTGACTTCAAAGTAATCTTAGGGATTGTGGGAAGGCAGCTGAACTCGGCGCCTGGAAAGATGGAGGCAGCGGAGACAGAGGCGGAAGCTGCAGCCCTAGAGTAAGTGTTTGCGGCTAAGTGGCAGCTGGGGCCGGGCCTGGGAGGACCTTGTGGGCCCCTATGTGTAATGATTGGTGCCCTCGACCCTGTACAGCTGTTGAGGTTCGACCCTGCCGTGAAGTGATCCTCACCGCAGTCCCGTCTTAGGTTCCTGAGGTGTCTGTTGCCTGCTCCAGGAGTACAGCCTTTGGGGGACCGTTCGCCGCTCCCCACATCCACATAATCCACAGGATGTGCTCTAGGAGACGGTTTCACTTCTGTCTTCTTGTCCCAACACGACACATTCCCAGTCACTTCTCATCCCCATCCCTGCCCCTTCGTAGATTGCTCCAGTCCCTAATAATGAAAAACCCTAGAGTAGACCGAGGCATCCAGCCCTCTGCCCTGAGTCCTTTCTCAGCTATTCCAAGACTCTGCCCCAAGGCTGGTGCTCAGCGCCAGGAGGGATCCCAAGGCCCAGCATTCTTCCCCTTCCTTGCATATCTCCCTGGCTTCCTTCACATCTTGACTCAAATGATTTCTCTTCAGTGAGACACTCCCTATTTAAAATTTCAGCTCTTTTCTCAAACTCCTTATCCACTAGCCCTGCTGATTTTCCTTTTGGCACGTATTACCACCGTGTGCCCTCCATGCACGCCATTCCTGGTTGCAGGCTGTGGACCCTTCAGGCCCTTGTGTAAACTCTGGTCAAGGCAAGACTCTCAATACTATATATACTGATATACACATCCACATTTGTTTGTGTACACACACGAACTGTAGAACTAGCACCACAAGAAACTGCAATTTCCTGTGTTTCCTTGCCCCTCCAGGGTCCTGGCTGAGGTGGCAGGCATCTTGGAACCTGTAGGCCTGCAGGAGGAGGCAGAACTGCCAGCCAAGATCCTGGTTGAGTTTGTGGTGGTATGTACAAGATGAGAGCGAGCCTTTCAGAAGCCAGGGTCTGGTCCTGGCTCCTCTTACTGAGATACAGGGCAGCACTGGCAGAGAGCAGACTTAAGGAAACCTGTAAGGAGGTAAGGATGTTCCCTGTCTCTGCCCTCCCTCTGAGCAGGACTCTCAGAAGAAAGACAAGCTGCTCTGCAGCCAGCTTCAGGTAGCGGATTTCCTGCAGAACATCCTGGCTCAGGAGGACACTGCTAAGGGTCTCGACCCCTTGGCTTCTGAAGACACGAGCCGTGAGTAGGCAGGGGATTGTAGTAGCAGCTGACCTGAGTGGGGAAGGAAGGAGGATTTCAGTTAGGTCTCCCATTTGGCTGATGGGAAGGAGGCCCAGTGTTGCAGGGAGGCAGGCTAGCAGGCCACCCTCACTCATGTACTCATTCCTGGTGGCTCATCTCAGGACAGAAGGCAATTGCAGCTAAGGAACAATGGAAAGAGCTGAAGGCCACCTACAGGGAGCACGTAGAGGCCATCAAAATTGGCCTCACCAAGGCCCTGACTCAGATGGAGGAAGCCCAGAGGAAACGGACACAACTCCGGGAAGCCTTTGAGCAGCTCCAGGCCAAGGTACACCCAGGGGTCTTGAGTACAGGGAGGGAAGGGCAGTTAGAAAGGAAGAGGGAAAGAGTGAGCAAGCTGAGTTGTGCCAGCTTGCAATCTCCCAAAATTCTAGCCAGAAAAAATAGACTTCTCTTGGTCTTTCTCCCTTGCTTATCTGTAGAAACAAATGGCCATGGAGAAACGCAGAGCAGTCCAGAACCAGTGGCAGCTACAACAGGTAGGTTCGTCCCCCTAGGAGAATATCCCTTCCCACCACCATGCCATTGTATCGGCTGTGTCCCCTGTCTAGAAAACCGTTTTGCTTCCTCCTTTGAGGCACTATAATATAAATACCAACATGGGCTTGAATCTCAGTGTCACCACTTACCACTGCATGATCTTGGGCAGGTCACCTAACTTTCTGTTTCTTTATTTAAAATGAAGGCAATAATACCACCTACTCTAGAGAGTTATTAAGATGATTAAATGATCATTACAGCAAGGACTTTAAAATAGTACCTGGCACATAGCAAGTTAAATAAGTGTTATCACCTTTGTGCCCCTTCCCCGCAAGAATGCCTCACCCTAGAACAGCTCATTCTGATCTTTCCTTTTCTCTAGGCCCCTACTCCACCCTGAAGTGAATAGAGTCCCTCTTTTCATCATTGAGCCTGAGCCCTGAGCTGGGTGTAGGCTGGAGGGGTTGGAGGGAGTTTCTAAGACTTCAACATCTGATGCATAATGTCTGCATGCTCACTCCTGGCAGGAGAAGCATCTGCAGCATCTGGCGGAGGTTTCTGCAGAGGTGAGGGAGCGTAAGACAGGGACTCAGCAGGAGCTTGACAGGGTGTTTCAGAAACTTGGAAACCTGAAGCAGCAGGCAGAACAGGAGCGGGACAAGCTGCAGAGGTAAGTTCGGGAGCATGGGCTGCAGATTCAAAATGGTCCAGCTGAGATTCCTTTCCTTCACACTTACCTCCTCTTTGTAGGTATCAGACCTTCCTCCAGCTTCTGTATACCCTGCAGGGTAAGCTGTTGTTCCCTGAGGCTGAGGCTGAGGCAGAGAATCTTCCAGATGATAAACCCCAGCAGCCGACTCGACCCCAGGAGCAGAGTACAGGAGACACCATGGGGAGAGACCCTGGTGTGTCCTTCAAGGTAAATGAGAGATGGAACAGGTGGGCATGGGCTGGCAGGTGGAGACAGAAGCTGGGAGATTGGCCTTACCCACTGTCTATACTGTATTTCTCCAAGGCTGTTGGTCTACAACCTGCTGGAGATGTAAATTTGCCATGACTTCCTGGAGGACAGCAGCATGGAGAAAGATCCTAGAAAAGGTCAGACCCAACTCAGGCCTTGGTGTCCCTGGACTGCAAGTGTGGAAGGAGGGAAAGCCTGGTTTACCTCTCTCTGCATCTGAGCTCTGCTACCCATGGAGCAGATGGATGGTGGGAACAGGAAAGAGCTTATGTTACACCTCATTCCCATGCTTAGCCCACCCAGAGCTAACCCCTGTCTTCTTCCCCAGGCCTCTGACTTCCCTCACCTCCCAACCATCATTACAGGAAAGACTGTGAACTCCTGAGTTCAGCTTGATTTCTGACTACATCCCAGCAAGCTCTGGCATCTGTGGATTAAAATCCCTGGATCTCTCTCAGTTGTGTATTTGTTCATCTTCATATGCTGGCAGGAACAACTATTAATACAGATACTCAGAAGCCAATAACATGACAGGAGCTGGGACTGGTTTGAACACAGGGTGTGCAGATGGGGAGGGGGTACTGGCCTTGGGCCTCCTATGATGCAGACATGGTGAATTTAATTCAAGGAGGAGGAGAATGTTTTAGGCAGGTGGTTATATGTGGGAAGATAATTTTATTCATGGATCCAAATGTTTGTTGAGTCCTTTCTTTGTGCTAAGGTTCTTGCGGTGAACCAGAATTATAACAGTGAGCTCATCTGACTGTTTTAGGATGTACAGCCTAGTGTTAACATTCTTGGTATCTTTTTGTGCCTTATCTAAAACATTTCTCGATCACTGGTTTCAGATGTTCATTTATTATATTCTTTTCAAAGATTCAGAGATTGGCTTTTGTCATCCACTATTGTATGTTTTGTTTCATTGACCTCTAGTGATACCTTGATCTTTCCCACTTTCTGTTTTCGGATTGGAGAAGATGTACCTTTTTTGTCAACTCTTACTTTTATCAGATGATCAACTCACGTATTTGGATCTTTATTTGTTTTCTCAAATAAATATTTAAGGTTATACATTTCTTCTGACTTCCTTTATTTTCACAATCATTCAATTCATAGCATTTCCTATATTCTGTTATAATTATTTCATTGATTCATAAATTTCTTTGAAAAATAATTTGGTCTTCTATTGATTGTGAGAAGATAATCTAAGTTTAATTTGGTCAGAGAATATCATCTGTTTAATAAACTTTGAAATTTGGTGAGTGAATTATCTTTTTTACTGATAAAGAGTGATGTCATCTTTTTTAATGTTTCACATAGGTTTGGAAAGAATGCATTTTAGATTGTGTGTAGTATTTTCTATTAGATTATGTTTGCAATTTTTGTTTCAATTTATATCTTATATACTTAATTTTTTGTTGTCTGTCACCTGAGAGGTGTGTTCAAATCTCCAACTATGATAGTGGATTTGTGCATTTGTCTTTATAGTTCCATTTTCTTACATACTTTGCAGTTACTTTATTAAGGTATATGTAAATTTACATTTATATTTTTCTTCTGAACTGAACTCTTTGTGTGGTAGCCTGCTTCATCTATAGGCTAATGTGTTTAACCTTGAAAACTACTAGTTTTAATATTAATATAACTGTCAATTCTTTTGGTTACCCTTTGCTTGACATCCTTTCTCTTGAATTTCCATTCTTTTTTAGTTTCAACCTTTCTTTATATTTACCACTTGTATACAGCATTTAAAGGGTTATTTATAAAAAAAAAAAAAACTCTTGTCACATTTGTCTTTATGATTTTCTAGTTGTGTCAATTTTTTATTTGCTTTCTCTTGGCTTTTTATTTATCCCTTTCATGCCTTTTATTTTTTATTGTTTCTTCATGCTTTTTGTTGTTTGTTTGTTTAGAAGGTCTAATTTAGACCGGCTAGTTTAGCTTTCATAGTTAGCAATGTCTCAAGTTATTTAAAGAATTAAAGACTCTTCATCCTTTTCTTAATAAATGAAGCCTAAACAGCTGTAACCATTGATAGATCATCCCACTCTAAACTATTAAGGTATTTTTGTCCAGTTTATTACTTCTAGCCTGTTTGTGTTCTCATAAATTAATTTTTTAAATTATTTTATACAGTCAATGCTTTATTACTAATTTATTTACTATTTTTGCCCACATTATTTTTACATTTCAGAGCTTTCATGTGGAATACTTTTTCCATCTGAAATAAATGTCTCAGAATTTCCCTTAGAGTTTGCAGACTGTATAATGTTTTAAATTTTACTATGAAAATATTTTTATTTCATCCTTATTCTTGAGAAATGTTTTTATTATGTAGAGAATGCTTGGTAGGCAGTTTGACTTAACACATTGAAGATTAACTCAACTGATTCTCTGGTCATCTGGTTTTGATCCTTGATGATGAGAAGTCAACTGTCAGTTTAAAAGCCCTTCCTATGCATTTTTTTACCCAGTTAGTGCTTTTAACACCTGTATTTAGTGCTCTATAGTTTTACTATATTGTGAATAGTTTGGGACTCTGGTTTACTTATTTATTCATTCATTCTGCTTGCAAATAGTTGAGCTTTCTAAATTGCCACTCTTTCAACAATTCTGGAATATTTTCAGTTTATCTGTTTAAAAAACACCTCTTTTGTATTAGCTTATTCTAAAATGCCAATTAGACATCAATCAAATTTTCTAACTTTTTTCTTCATGTCATGCAAACTTTCTTTTGTAGTTACCATTGCTCTTTCTGAGATTGCATTCTAGATGCTTTTTCTATTTTAACTTTATATAGCCAAGCTATTGTTTTTTCATCAGTTTCTTAATTTTTGATCTTTGATTTTCATTTCAATAAGTTGTATTAGATCTCAATTTACTACTGCTTTTGAATATTTTCTTCTGGCTTACATTTTGAGCTTTTTAAATTTTTTTTTTTAATTCTTGATGTATTTGACTACATAGTAGGTATACATACGAGCTTATTTTTTATTATCTTAATATATGGACACTTCATTATCTTTTTTGGAAAGGTTCATAATATATAACTTTATTGGCCTATCTCTCATACTCCCTGTTTAATATAGTTCATGTAGTTTTACTTTGAGCTGCCTATTTTTCCTAAATTTTACCGTTACGGCCTGATACAAAATTGAGAGAATTTGTGTTAACTTCTGTCAATAGCTTGTGGGCATTACCTGTATAACTCTTAGAAATGTTAAAATGAGTGTTTTTAATGTTTTTTATATTTGTGTGCTATCCCATTTTTCATTCCTGTTGTTTATTTTCTTTCTT